>NC_000009.12:40010000-40310000 GCF_000001405.40 Homo sapiens | reverse complement strand
AGACAGGATCCCTCTTGTGCTATGGTGCCTAGAAGTTTATTCCACCAGATATGCACTAAATCATCACCCTCAAGTTCAAAGTTTCACAGATCTCAAGGGCAAGGTCGCCCTGCAGCCACGTTCTTTGCTACAGCAAAACAAAAGTAACCATGGCTCCTGTTCCCAGTTAAGTTCCTCATTTTCATCTGAGACCTTGTAAGCCTGGCCTTCCCTGGCCTTCCTTCTGTCAGCATTTTAATCAAAACTATTTAACAAGTCTCTACAATGGTCCCAACTTTCCCTCATCTTCCTGTCTTTTTTCAAGCTCTCCAAACTCTCCAACTTCTGGCTGTTACCCACTTCTGAACCTGCTTTACATTTTCAGCTATCTTTGTTGCAGCCTGGCGCTCCTGCCTTTCACCCGTAACCCCAAACACAATCCCAATCCCCCACAACTCTCCCCACCCCCCCAATACCCTCCAACTCTCCCCATCCTCCCCCCCATCCAACCTCCAGTCTCCACCAGGGGAAACTTCAAGAAGGCTTCAGATATTTGCGTTAAAAAGAAGCCCAGTGCTAACAGCCAAAACAGTGGGGAAAAGTCATTGAAGATATTTCATAGCTCCACTTTGCAGTACTTATTTTCTGTGTGGTCATAATGAAAAGGGGATTCATTGGCTCATGGGTCTTCAGGCTGTAAAGAAAGCATGGTGGCTTCTGCTTCTGGGAAGACTCAGGAAGCCTCCCAATCATACCAGAAGGAAAGCAGCAATGAAATGTTTCATACGGCAGGAGCAGGAGCAAGACTCACAGAGGAAAGAGGTGCCACAGCCTGTTATACAACCAGATCTCATGAGAACTCACTATCACTAAGTCAGCATCAAGAAGATGGTGCTTAACCATTGGTGAAGGATCCACCCCCCAACACACCTCCACCCCCTACTGTTTCCAGACAGAAGCCTGCTGCAGAGGCAGAGCCTCTTGGAAATCCTGTTCTGTGGCAGTGCAGAAGGAAAACAAGGGCTTTGAGTTGCTCTGCAGGAGGCCGCCCTCCTCTAGACCCCAGATTCATAGACCTACCAACAGTTCACACCCTCAGTATGGAAAAGCCATAGGCACTCAATACCAGCCCAGCCCATAAGGGCAGCCATGGGGGCTAAAGCCTGCAAAGCCACAGGTGCACTGCCCTGGTAGAGGTTTTCCATGAGCCTCTGCCTCTGCAGCAGGCTACTCCCCCTTCCTACTACCCACCACCCTCCGACCACCCTACAGCCAGCATACTGTTCCCCACCCTACCCACCCCTTTTTTCTTCCACCCCCACACCTCCCATCCATGATTAAATAATCTCCCACCAGGCCCCACCTCCAACATTTGGGATTACAATTCCAAGTGAGTTTTTCTAGAGGCACACAACCAAATCATATTATGCTGACCTTGACCCCCCCAAATCCCATGTCCTTCTCACACAGTAAAATACAATCACACCTGTTCAAAAGTTTCCAAAAGCCTTAACTCATTCCCGCATTAACTCAAGTGTGAAAAGTTAAAAGTCTCATCTGAGACAAGGCCCTTCTGCCTATGAGTCCCTGAAATTAAAAGCACACTCCTTTCTTTCAAGGAACAATGATGGTACAGGTATTGGGTAAGTTTTCTCAATCCAAACGGAAGAAATTTCCAAGAAAAATAACACAAGTGGGACCACAGGCACAATGGACATCCAAAACCCAGCAGGTCAGTGTTCATTCAGTCTCACGGCTCCAAAATTATGAAGAGAACTCACTATCAGAAGGACAGCATTAAGGAGACTGTGTTTAACCATTTCTGAAGGATCCACCTCCACACCTGCCTTTCACCCATAACCCCACCACAATCCCAACTCTCCCCATCCCCCGAAAAACCCCCCAACTCTCCCCACCCTCCAATACCCTCCAACTCTCCCCATCCCCCCCATCCAACATCCACTCTCCACCATGATTAAATCACCTTCCACCAGCCCCCACCTTTAACATTCCCCATTAAAATTCCACAAGTTTTGGGGGAGGCACAGAGCCAAATCATATTATTCTGTCCCTGGTCCCCCAAATCTCATGTCTTTCTCACATTGCAAAATACAATGATGCCTTCCCTGCAGTCCCCCAAATCTTAACTCATTCCAGCATTTACTCAGGTGTCCAAAGCCCGAAGTCTTATCTGAGACAAGTCTACAGTCCCTTCTGCCCATGAGTCTTTGGATTATAAGGCAACTTCACTACTTCCAAGGTATAATGATTGTACAGGCAATGGGTAAGCCTTCTCAGCCAAAAGAAAAAAAAAAAAAAACTGCTAGAAAGAAGCACAAAACACAGACGGGATTCATAGGATACATGAATGTCCAAAACCCAGCAGGCCAGTCAGTCAATCCTACAGCTCCAGAATCATCCTTTTTGAATCCCTGTCCCACATCCATGGTACAGGGGTGTGAGGGCTGGGCTCCCAAGGTCTTGGGCCAATCTGCACCTGTGGCTTTGCAGGGTTCAGCCCCTGCAGCGGCCCTCATGGACACAGCTGGTGTTGTGTGCCTCGTAGCTTTTCCATACTGAGGGTGCAAGCTGCTTGTGGGTCTATGAATCTGGGGTTTGGAGAATGATGCCTCCCTGTGTGGGGGCTTCAACCCTATATGTCCCTTGTTTGCTCCCCTAGTAGAGGTTTCCCAGGAGGCCCTGCCTCTTGGAAAAGCTTCTTTCCTAGACATCCAGGCTTTTCTGTGCATCTTCTGGAGTCTACACAGAGGCTCCCAAGCCTCTAGTCTCTTACTCTGTACACCTGCTGGCTTAACACTATATGGAAACAATCAAGGCTTGGAGCCACCTCTGAAGCAGTAACCCAAGCTGTACCTGTGCATCTTTGAGCCATGGCTGGAGCTGGAACTACAGGGATGCAGCCAGCAGTGTCCTGAGGATGCACACAGCAATGGGGCCATGGAGCTTGCCCAGGAAACCATTCTTCTCTGTCAGGCCCTAGGGCCTGTGACAGCAAGGGCTGCTGCAGAGGACCATGAAATGCCTTCGAGGCCTCTTTCCCATTGTCTTGGCTATTTGCACTGGGCTTCTTTTTATGCAGATACTCTAAGCCTTCTTCAATTTTCCCCCGGAAAACCAGCTTTTCTTTTTGACCACTTGGCCAGGCTGCAGATTTTCCAAACTTTAGGTCTCCACTTCTCATTTCAATAGAAGTTCCAACTTGAAGTCATTTCTTAGGTCACGCATAAGAACACAGGCTATTCAATGCAGACAGGACACCTCGCTAGGCTGCCTAGATGTTCATTCCACCAGGTACATCCGAAATCATCACCCCCAAATTCATAGTTTCATAGATGTCCAGGGCAGGGTCCCCGTGCAGCCACGTTCTCTGCTAAGGCCAATCAAATGTAACCATGGCTCCTGTTCACAGGAAATTCCTAATTTTCATCTGAGACCCTTTAAGTCTGGACTTCAGTGTTTATCCTTCTGTCAGCCTTCTGATCGCAAGAATTTAACAGTTCTCCACAGCGGTCAAATTTTCCTCATCTTGCTGTCTTCCAAGCTTTCCCAACTCTCCTGACCTCTGTCTTTTACCCACTTCTGAACCTGGTTCTACATTGTCAGCTATCTTTATCACAACCTGGTAGTGTGGTAAAAGAAGAAAAGTCCACTTTCAGGGGGAAAATTCATGAAGGCTCCAGATAGTTGCATGAAAAGAAGCTGAGTGCTGGTTGCCAAGAAAAGGGGAAAGGGCCTTGAAGGCACTTCATAGCTACCAGAATGCCAAGGGGCAAGGAGACATTTCAAATGGCAGGAGTAGAAGCAAGACTGAGAGAGGAAAGCGGTGCCACACCCTGTTATATAACCAGATCTCATGAGAACGCACTATCATGAAGACAGCATCAAGCACATGCTGCCTAACCATTGGTGAAGGGACTGCCTCCCACACCCACCTCCCACTGTTTCCAGGCAGCAGCCTGCTGCAGATGCAGAGTTCTTGGGAAACCTCTACTAGGGCAGTGCAGAAGGAAAATATGGACTTGGAGCCCCCACATAGGGGGCTACCACCGTCCAGACCCCAGATTCACAGACCCACCAACAGCTGGCACCCTCAGTGAGGAAAAGCTACAGGCCCTCAATACCAGTCCCGCGCATGAGAACAGCTGAGGAGCTAAACCCTGCAAACCACAGGTGCACTGCCCTAGTAGAGGGTTTTCCGTGAGTCCCTCACTCTGCAGCAGGCTGCTCCTCCTTCCTACTACCACCCACCCTCCCACCACTCTACTACCGACCCACTCCTCCCAATCCTACCCATCCCTTTTACCTTCCACCACCACCAACCTCCCGTCCATAATTAAGTCACCCGCTTCAACATTAGGGATTACGATTCCGCATGAGATTCATAGGGACACACAGCCAAACCATATTATTCTGACCCTGATATCCCAGAATCTCATGTCCTTATCACAGAGCAAAATGCAATCATGACTTTTCAAAAATCTCCAAAAGTCTTAACTCATTCCAAATGTAAAAAAGTTCAAAGTCTCTCCTGAGACAAGGCTACAGTCTCTTCTGCCTATGAGTCCCTGAATTTAAAATGGAGTTCTTTTCTTTCCAGGTACAATGATGGTATGGGCATTGGGTAAGCTTTCTCAGTCCAAAGGGAAGAAATTTCCCATAAAAATAGCACAAATGGGCCCACAGGCCCAACACAAGTCCAAAACTCAGCGGGACAGTATTCACTCAATCCCACAGCTGCAAATATCATCAAGAGAACTCACTATCACGCAGGCGGCATTAAGGAGATAGTGTTTAAACATTTGTGAAGGATCTGCCCCCCTACCCTTACCTTTTACCCCCACCCACAAAATAATCTCCCCCATTCTCCCCACACCCCTACCTCCAACGCCCACTCTTCTCCATGAATAAATCACCTCACACCAGGCCCCACGTTTAACATTCACCATTACAATTCCAAATGAGTTTGGTAGGGATGCAGACCCAAATCGTATTATTCTGACCCTGACCCCCCATATCTCATGTTGTTCTCACACTGCAAAATACAATGATGCCTACTCTACAGTTTCCCAATGTCTTAGCTCATTCCAGCATTTACTGAAATGTCCAAAGCCCAAAGTCTCTTCTGAGACAAGACTGCCATCCCTTCTGCCCCTGAGCCTCTGAAATACAAAGCAAGTTAATTACCTCCAAGGTATGACTGTCCAGGCATTGAGTAAGAACCTCCACCCGAAAGGAAGATTTTTTGCCAGAGAGAAGAACAAAACACAAACGGGACTTACAGGTTCCCATGACATTCCAAAACCCAGCAGGCCAGTTATTCAAACCTACAGCTCCAAAATCATCCTTTTTAAGTCCTTGTCCCACATCTAGGACACAAGGGCGTGAGGGCTGGGCTCCCAAGGCCTTGGGCAGCTCTGTACCTGTGGCTTTGCAGTGTTCAGCCCCCGCAGCTGCCCTCATGGGCTGGGCTAGTGTTGAGCACCTGTAGCTTTTCCACAATGAAGATGCAAGATGTTAGTGAGTCTATGAATCTGACGTTTCAGAATGGTGCTCCCTGTGTGGTGGTTCCAACCCTATATGTTCCTTCCATACTGCCCTAGTAAAGGATTCCCATGAGGCTCTGCCTCTTTGAATAGTTTCGACCTGGACACCCAGGTTTTTCTGTAAATCCTCTGTAGTCTACATGAAGGATTCTGAGCCTCTAGTCTTGGCCTTTTTGCACCTGCTGGCTCAACACTATGTGGAAGCCACCAAGGCTTGCAGCTTGCACCCTCTGAAGCAGCGACCCAAGATGTACCTTTGTATCTGTCAGCCATGGTTGGAGCTGGAGCTTCAGGTATGCAGCCAGCAGTGTCCTGAGGATGGACACAGCAGCAGGGCCATGGGACTGGATAAGGAAATCATTCTTTTCTCCCAGGCCTGGGGGCCTGTGACAGCAAGGGTTGCTGCAAAAGTCTCTGAAGTGCCTTCAAGGCCTTTTTATCCTTGTCTTGGCTATTAGCACTCAATTCCATTTTATGCACATTTCTGAAATCTTCTTGAACTTTCCCACGGAAAATCAGCTTTTCTTTTTGACCACTTGGCCAGCCTGCAAATTTTCCAAACTTTTAAGCTCTCCGTCTCATTTAAATATAAGTTTCACCTTGAGGTCATTTCTTTGGTCACATATAAGACACCTCAGGGTGTTTGGCACAGACCAGACACCTCTTGAGCTTTGCTGCCTAAAAGTTCATTCCACCAGATACACTCTAAATCATCACTCTCAAGTTCAAAGTTTCACAGATCTCCAGGTTAACGGCATCGTGCAGTAACGTTCTTTGCTAAGGGAAAACAAAAGTGACCTTGGCTCCTCATCCCAGCAAGCTCCTCATTTTCATGTGAGACCTTCTAAGCCTGGCCATCACTGTCCATCATTCTGTCATCTTTTTAATTATAACTATTTAACAAGTCTCTACACTGGTCCAAACTTTTCCACATCTTCCTGTCTTCTTCCAACACCTCCAAACTCTCCAACCTCTGGCCGTTACACACTTCTCAACCTGCTTCTACATTTTCAGCTATGTTTGTTGCAGCCTGGCAATGTGGTAAAAGAAGCAAAGTCTGTTTCAGGAGAAAAATTCAGGCAGGCTTCAGATATTTGCCGGAAAAGAAGCTGAGTGCTCATTGCCAAGAAAATAAGGAAAAGGCCTTGAAGGCATTTCATAGCTCCATTTCACAGCACTAATTTTCTGTATAATCAGAAAGAAAAGAGGTTGAACTGGCTCATGGTTCTGCACGCTTTAAATAAATCATAGAGGCTACTGCATCTGGGAGGACTCAGGAAGCCTCCCAATCATTCCAGAAGACCAAGCACCAATAGTATGTTTTATATGGCAGAAGTAGAAACAAGACAGAGAGAGGAAAAAGGTGCCACACCCTGTTATACAACCAGATTTCCTGAGAACTCTCTAACACAAGGTCAGCATCAAGAATGCTTAACCATTGGTGGAGCCATTGGTGAAAGATCTGCCCCCTACCACCCACAACCCCCACTGTTTCCAAGCAGAAGCCTGAGGCAGAGGCAGAGCTACTAGGAAAACCTCTACTAGGACAAAGCAGAAAAAAAACAAAAAACAAAAAAAAAGGCTTGGTGGCCCCACACAAGAGGTTACCATCCTCCAGACTCTCTAACCTCTGGCCATTACCCAATTCAGAACTGGCTTCTACATTGTCAGCTATCTGTGTCACAGCCTGGCAATGTGGTAAAAGAAGAAGGGTCCATTATCAAGGGAAAAATCAAGAAGGCCTCCAATATTTGCATTAAAAAAAACAGT
This sequence comes from Homo sapiens, assembly GCF_000001405.40. Lineage (NCBI taxonomy): Eukaryota > Metazoa > Chordata > Mammalia > Primates > Hominidae > Homo > Homo sapiens. The sequence continues at coordinate 40,302,687 of NC_000009.12, read as the reverse complement.
GCTAACAGCCAAGAGATTGCGGGAAAGGCCTAGAAGGCATTTCATATCTTCACCTTGCAGCATTGATTTTCTGTATATACATAAAGAAAAGAGGTTTAATTGACTCACAGTTCTTCGGGCTGTAAAGAAAGCATAGTTGTTTCTGCTTCTAGGAGGACTCAGGAAGCCTCACAACCATACCAGAAGGCCAAGCGGCAATGAAGTGTTTCATATAGCAGGAGCAGAAGCACGACAGCGAGAGGAAAGAGGTGCCATATCCTGTTATGCAACTTGATCTCATGAGAGCTCACTATGAGGAGATCAGCATCACAAAGACGATGCTTAACTATTGGTGAAGGATCTGCCCCCCACCCCATATCCACCCCTCACTGTCTCCATGCAGAAGCCTGAGACAGAGGCAGAGCCTCTTGGAAAACCTCTACTAGGGCAGCGCAGAAGGAAAATATGGGTTTGGAGCCCCTATGCAGGAGGCCACCATCCTCCAGACCCCAGATTCATAGATGCACCAACAGCCCGCACGCTCAGTATGGAAAAGCTACACACACTAAACACCAGCCTAGCCCATGAGAGCAGCCATGGGGGCTAAAGCCACAGGTGCACTGCCCTAGTAGAGGTTTCCCATGAGCCTCTGCCTCTGCAGCAGGCTACTCCCCTCCCACAACATGCCACCCTCACACCACCCTACAGCCAACCTACTCCTCCCCACCTAACCCACCTCTTTGTACTTCCAACCCCACCCCTCTCCCATCCATGAATAAATCACCTCCCACCAGGCCCCACCTGCAACATTCAGGATTACAATTCCACATGAGTTTAGGTAGGGATACACAGCTAAACCATATTATTCTGACCCTGATCCCCTGAATATCATATCCTTCTCACAGAGTAAAATACAATCACGCCTTTTCAAAAGTTGCTGAAAGTCTTAAGTCATTTCAACATTAACTCAAATGTAAAAAGTTCAACGTCTCACCTGAGAAAAGGCTACAGTCCCTTTTGCCTATGAGTCCCTGAATTTAAAAGGGAGTTCTTTTCTTTCAAGGTATGATGATGGTAGAGGCATTGGGCAAGTTTTCTCAATCCAAAGGGTTTGAGATTGCCAGGAAAATAACACAAATGAGATGACAGGGCCAACACAAGTCCAAAACCCAGAAGGCCAGTATCCATTCAATCTCACAGCTCCAAAACCATCACGAGAACTCACCATCGTGAGGAAAACATTAAGGAGACAGTGTTTAACCATTTGTGAGGGATCCTGCCTCCAACCCTACCTTTCACCCCTCACCTCCACCAAAATCCACCCATTCTCCCCAATCCCCACCTTCCAACACCCACTGCCCTCCATGATTAAATCACCTTCAACTTGGCCCCACTTTTAAGATTTCCAATTAAAATTCCAGATAAGTTTCTGTAACACACAGCCAAATCTTATCATTCTGTCCCTGCCTACCCAGATTTCATGTCCTTCTCACTTTGCAAAATGAAATGATGCATTACCTGCCATTTCCCCAAGCCACTATGCTTTTTTTACAGCCTGCAGAACTATAAGCCAATTAAACCCCTTTTTGTTATGAACACACAAAAAATTAGTACTGTGAAGTTAAGCTATGAAATGCCTTCAGTGACTTTTCCCCATCGTCTTGGATAAGACCCCCAAGGTCTTAACTCATTCCAGCATTTACTCAAATGTCTGAAGCCCAAAGTCTCAACTGAGACAAAGCTGCAGTCTCTTCTGCCCCTGAGCCTCTGAAATACAAAGCAGGTTAACCACTTCCAAGGTACGATTGTCCAGGCATTTAGTAAGAATCTCCACCCAAAAGGAAGATTTTTGCCAGAGAGAAGAACAAAACACAAACAGGACTTACAAGTCCCACAAAATTCTGAAACTCAGCAGGCCACTTATTCAAACCTACAGCTCCAAAGTCATCCTTTTTAAATCCTTGTCCCACATCCAGGGCACAAGGGCATGAGGGTGGGCTCCCAAGGCCTTGGGCAGCTCTGCACCTGTGGCTTTGCAGTGTTCAGCCCCCGCAGCTGCCCTCATGGGCTGTGCTGGTGTTGAGTGCCTGGAGTTTTTAACCCATGGAGGGTACGAAGCTTTTGATGGGTCTATGAATCTGGGGTCTGCACGATGGTGGCCTCCAGTGTGGGGGCTCCAACCTCATATTTTCCTTCTGCACTGCCCAAGTAGAGGTTTCCCATGAGACTCTGCTTTTTTGGCAGCCTTCTGTCTGGACACCAGGCATTTTCATACATCTTCTGAAATATATATGGAGGCTCCCAAGTCTCTAGACTAGTGCTCCGTGCACCCACTGGCTTAACACTATGTAGAAGCAACCAAGGCCTATAGCTTGCACCCTCTGAGGCAGTGACCCAAGCTGTACCTGTACATCTTTCAGCCAAGGTCGGAGCAGGAGCTGGGGCTGCTGGGATGCAGGCAGCAGTGTCCTGAGGCTACACACAGCAGCAGGGCCATGGGGCTGGCCCAGGAAACCATTCTTCTCTCCTAGGTCCCAAGGCCCGTGACAGCAAGGGCTGCTGCAAACATCTCTGAAATGCCTCCAAGCCTTTTCCCCACAATTGTCTTGGCTATTAGCACTGGCCTCCACTTTATGCAAATTTCTGGAGACTTCATGAATTTTCCCCCTGAAAATCAGCTTTTCTCTTTGACCATCTGGCCAGGCTGCAAATGTTTCAAACTTTTGAGTTCTGCTTATCATTTAAATATAAGTTCCAACTTGAGGTCATTTCCTTGGTCACACATAACAGCACAGACTGTTTGATGCAGACAGGATCCCTCTTGTGCTATGGTGCCTAGAAGTTCATTTCACCAGATATGCACTAAATCATCACCCTCAAGTTCAAAGTTTCACAGATCTCAAGGGCAAGGTCGCCCTGCAGCCACGTTCTTTGCTACAGCAAAACAAAAGTAACCATGGCTCCTGTTCCCAGTAAGTTCCTCATTTTCATCTGAGACCTTGTAAGCCTGGCCTTCCCTGGCCTTCCTTCTGTCAGCATTCTAATCAAAACTATTTAACAAGTCTCTACAATGGTCCCAACTTTCCCTCATCTTCCTGTCTTTTTTCAAGCTCTCCAAACTCTCCAACTTCTGGTGTTACCGACTTCTGAACCGCTTTACATTTTCAGCTATCTTTGTTGCAGCCTGGCACTCCTGCCTTTCACCTGTAACCCCAAACACAATCCCCCCTAACTCTCCCCACCCTCCCAATACCCTCCAACTGTCCCCTTCCCACACATCCAACCTCCACTCTCCACCAGGGGAAACTTCAAGAAGGCTTCAGATATTTGCATTAAAAAGAAGCCCAGTGCTAACAGCCAAGACAATGGGGAAAAGTCCTTGAAGATATTTCATAGCTCCACTTTGCAGTACTTATTTTCTGTGTGGTCATAATGAAAAGGGGATTCATTGGCTCATGGGTCTTCAGGCTGTAAAGAAAGCATGGTGGCTTCTGCTTCTGGGAAGACTCAGGAAGCCTCCCAATCATACCAGAAGGAAAGCAGCAATGAAATGTTTCATACGGCAGGAGTAGGAGCAAGACTCACAGAGGAAAGAGGTGCCACAGCCTGTTATACAACCAGATCTCATGAGAACTCACTATCACTAAGTCAGCATCAAGAAGATGGTGCTTAACCATTGGTGAAGGATCCACCCCCCAACACACCTCCACCCCCTACTGTTTCCAGACAGAAGCCTGCTGCAGAGGCAGAGCCTCTTGGAAATCCTGTTCTGTGGCAGTGCAGAAGGAAAACAAGGGCTTTGAGTCGCTCTGCAGGAAGCCGCCATCCTCTAGACCCCAGATTCGTAGACCTACCAACAGTTCACACCCTCAGTTTGGAAAAGTGATAGACACTCAATACCAGCCCAGCCCATAAGGGCAGCCATGGGGGCTAAAGCCTGCAAAGCCACAGGTGCACTGCCCTGGTAGAGGTTTTCCATGAGCCTCTACCTCTGCAGCAGGCTACTCCCCCTTCCTACTACCCACCACCCTCCGACCACCCTACAGCCAGCATACTGTTCCCCACCCTACCCACCCCTTTTTTCTTCCACCCCCACACCTCCCATCCATGATTAAATAATCTCCCACCAGGCCCCACCTCCAACATTTGGGATTACAATTCCATGTGAGTTTTTCTAGAGGCACACAGCCAAATCATATTATGCTGACCTTGACCCCCCCAAATCCCATGTCCTTCTCACACAGTAAAATACAATCACATCTTTTCAAAAGTTTCCAAAAGCCTTAACTCATTTCCACACTAACTCAAATGTGAAAAGTTAAAAGTCTCATCTGAGATCAGGCTACAGTCTCTTCTGCCTATGAGGCCCTGAAGTTAAAAGGGCATTCATTTCTTTCTAGGTACAATGATGGTACAGGTATTGGGTAAGTTTTCTCAATCCAAAGGGAAGAAATTTCCAAGAAAAATAACACAAGTGGGACCACAGGCCCAATGCACATCCAAAACCCAGCAGGACACTGTTCATTCAATCTCACAGCTCCAAAATCATGAATAGAACTCACTCTCAGAAGGGCAGCATTAAGGAGATGGTGTTTACCCATTTGTGAAGGATCCACCCCCACTCCTGCCTTTTACCCATAAACCCAAACACAATCCCCCCCAACTCTCCCCACCCCCTCAATACCCTCCAACTCTCCCCATCCCTCCCATCCAACCTCCACTCTCCACCATGATTAAATCACCTTCCAGCAGCCCCCACCTTTAACATTCCCCATTAAAATTCCACATGAGTTTTGGGAGAGGTACAGAGCCAAATCATATTACTCTGTCCCGGGTCCCCCAAATCTCATGTCTTTCTCACATTGCAAAATACAATGATGCCTTCCCTACAGTCCCCCAAATCTTAACTCATTACAGCATTTACTCAAATATCCAAAGCCCAAAGTCTTATCTGAGACAAGTCTACAGTCCCTTCTGCCATGAGTCTGTGAATTATAAAACAACTTAACTACTTCCAAGCTACAATGATTGTACAGGCAATGGGTAAGCATTCTCAACCAATAGAAAAAAAAATTGCTGGAAAGAAGCACAAAACACAGATGGGATTCATAGGATACATAAATGTCCAAAACCCAGCAGGCCAGTCACTCAATCCTACAGCTCCAGAATCATCCTTTTTGAATCCCTGTCCCACATCCATGGCACAGGGGTATGAGGGCTGGTCTTCCTAGGCCTTGGGCAGATCTGCACCTATGGCTTTGCAGTGTTCAGCCCCTGTAGCTGCCGTCATGGACAGGGCTGGTGTTGAGTGCCTGTAGCTTTTCCATACTGAGGGTGCAAGCTGTTTGTGGGTCTATGAATCTGGGGTTTGGAGAATGATGCCTCCCTGTATGGGGGCCTGTGACAGCAAGGGCTGCTGCAGAGGACTGTGAAATGCCTTCGAGGCCTCTTTCCCATTGTCTTGGCTATTTGCACTGGGCTTCTTTTTATGCAGATACTCTAAGCCTCCTTGAATTTTCCCCCGGAAAATCAGCTTTTCTTTTTGACCACTTGGCCAGGCTGCAGATTTTCCAAACTTTAGGTCTCCACTTCTCATTTCAATAGAAGTTCCAACTTGAAGTCATTTCTTAGGTCACGCATAAGAACACAGGCTATTCAATGCAGACAGGACACCTCGCTAGGCTGCCTAGATGTTCATTCCACCAGATACATCCTAAATCATCACCCCCAAATTCATAGTTTCATAGATGTCCAGGGCAGGGTCACCGTGCAGCCACGTTCTTTGCTAAGGCCAATCAAATGTAACCATGGCTCCTGTTCACAGGAAATTCCTAATCTTCATCTGAGACCTTTTAAGTCTGGACTTCAGTGTTTATCCTTCTGTCAGCCTTCTGATCGCAAGTATTTAACAATTCTCTACAGTGGTCAAATTTTCCTCATCTTGCTGTCTTCCAAGCTTTCCCAACTCTCCTGACCTCTGTCTTTTACCCACTTCTGAACCTGGTTCTACATTGTCAGCTATCTTTATCACAACCTGGCCGTGTGGTAAAAGAAGAAATGTCCACTTTCAGGGGCAAAATTCATGAAGGCTCCAGATATTTGCATGAAAAGAAGCTGAGTGCTGGTTGCCAAGAAAAGGGGAAAGGGCCTTGAAGGCACTTCATAGCTCCACTTCATAGCACTAATTTTCTGTATGATCATAAAGAAAAGAGGTTTAATTGGCTCATGGTTCAGCAGGCTGTAAAGGAGGCAGAGTGGCTTCTGCTTCTGGGACGTCTCAGGGAGCCTCACAACCATACCAGAAGGCCAAGGGGCAAGGAGATGTTTCATATGGCTGGAATAGAAGCAAGACTGAGAGAGGAAAGAGGTGCCACACCTTGTTATATAACCAGATCTCATAAGAACTCACTGTTACTAGGTCAGCATCAAGAAGATGTTGCTTAACCATTGGTGAAGGATCTGCCTCCCACCCCCACCTCCCACTGTTTCCAGGCAGCAGCCTGCTGCAGACGCAGAGTTCTTGGGAAACCTCTACTAGGGCAGTGCAGAAGGAAAATACGGACTTGGAGCCCCCACACAGGGCTACCACCCTACAGACCCCAGATTTAGAGACCCACCAACAGCTTACACCCTCAGTGTGGAAAAGCTACAGGCACTGAACACTAGTCCAGTCCATGAGAGCATCCATGGGGGCTCAAACCTGCAAAGCCACAGGTGCACTGCCCTAGTAATGGTTTTACATGAGGCTCTGCCTCTGCAGCACGCTACTCCCCCTTCCTACTACCCACGACCCTCCCACCACCCTACAGCCAGCCTACTCATTCCCACCCTACCCACCCCTTTTTCCATCCACACCCACCCCTGCCCATCCATGATTAAATCACTTCCTCCCTCTCCCTCATCTTTCTGTCATGCTCTAATCCCTCCAAACCCTCCCAATCTTTGTTTGCTACCCACTACTGAGCCTGCTTCTACTTTTTCAGGTATCTCTATAGCAGGTTGGCTATGTAGCAATAACACAAAACCCCATTTAAGGGGAAAAATTCAAGAAGACTTCAGAAATTTGCATATAAAGAAGCCCTGTGCTAATAGCCAAGACAAAGGGAAAAAAGGCCTTGAAGACATGCACAGCTCTCTCGGCAGTTCTAATTTTCTCTATTATTGTAAATGAAAGAGGTTTAATTGAATCATGGTTTTGCAAGCTGTGAAGGAAGCATAGTGTCTTCCGTTTCTGGGAGGAATCAAGAAGCCTCCTAATTATACCAAAAGCCAAGACAATGAGATACCTCCTAAGGCAGGAGTAGGAGGAAGACAGAGTGAGGAAAGAGGTTCCACAGCCTTTTAAACAACCAGATCTCATGAGAACTCACTCGCTATCAGGAGGACAGCATCAAGGTGATGGTCCTTTATCATTCGTGGAGAACCTACCCGCACCCTTTTATAACTAAATCTTTTTCCACCTAGGCCCCACCTCTAACATTAGGGAGTATAATTCCACATGGGTTTTGATACGGACACAGAGACAAACCATATTATTCTGTCCCTGATCCCATGAATATCATGTCCTTCTCACATTGCAAAATACAATCATGCCTTGCCAGAATGAGTCTTAACTCATTTCAGCATTAACTCAAACTTACAAAGTCCAAAATCTCATCTGAGTCAAGGCTACGGTCTCTTTTTCCTATGAGCCTCTGAATTAAAAAGCAAGCTCACAGCTTCTAACGTATAATGATGGTACAGGCATTGTGTAAGCTTTCCATATTCAAAAGGAAGACCTTTTCCAGAAAGCTTCTTATTTCTATCTGAGACCTCCTCAGCCTGGCCTTCACTATCCATGTTTGTGCCAGGATTTTTATCACAACCATTTAACCAGTCTCTAAGATAGTCCAAAAATTTTCTCATCTGTCTTCTTTTGAGACTTCCAAACTCTTCCAACCTCTGCCCATTACCTAGTTCCAAAGCTGCTTCCACATTTTCAGGTATCTTTATAGCAATGCTGCAATCGTCATTTGCCATTTTCTGTTTGATTCATTTTGAAAAAGAGGTTTAATTGGCTCATGGTTCTGCAGGGTGGACAGGAAGCACAGGGCTTCTGATTCTGGGAGGCCTCAGAAATCTTTCAATCTTTGTACAAGGCAAAGAAAGAGTGAGTTGTCTCACATGGCAAGAGGAAAACACGCAGAGTAGGGAGGTGACATAGTTTTCAGTGGCCAGATCTCACGAGAAGTCACTCATGATTGTGAGGATGGTACAAGGGGATGGTGCTGAACCATTCATGAGAAATTTGCCTTCATAAATCAATTGCCTTATACCAGGATCCACCTTCCACATTAGGAAATATAATTAAATATGAGATTTGGTGGGGACACATATTCGAATTGCATCATCAGTCTTTGAGTATAAAGACATGCACAGCAGGCTTTATCCAGCCAACTTATTTGGGACTCTTTATAGGGTTTGTGGTCTACAGCATATACACTAAAATATTCATACTTCAAAGAGCAGTAAAGTGGTATTATCATTCTTCCAAAAGTCCCAATGGTAGTTTAGGCATTCATGGCATGATTTAGTTCATGTTTGCTACTGTTTCTATTCTGTCAACATATTAACTGTTTCCTACACAATTCTGTATTCAGCTGGATTTCAGTTGAGCACAAAACCATCCTTGTGCTACCACGGATAGCTGGCACTAGCTCCTTGCTAGTGTTATTATTCTGTGTAGAAAGTATCCTTGAACTGGAAACAGTCCACAATCAAATATCTAGTCATTCAACATTATCAATTCCTGGATGATTTTTGAAAAAATAGTATCTCTTGTTGCAAGAAATGCTGCATCTGTGATTTCATGTCTCTCATTCAAATTGGATGGAAGTGGTGAATTTCCACTGAAGTGGTGAAAGAATTCCTGTTCCTGTGATTCTGGTGTCATCAGCCTCTGCATCTCTATCTTCCCTTCTGCCACATGTTGCCTGTCCTCCGCGACTTTGGTAAGAACTTGCTTGTGTATGTGGATGATGTTCAGGATGTTGGTCTGGTGTCCCTGAGACAGCACTAACAGGTCCATGACTGGGTCCAGGTTCTGCCTGGGATGATTGGCAAAGAGCTCACTGACAGTGTTGAAGGCATCTGTGGTGAAGTGGATGGGCTGGTCCAGCTCCAAGGCCTGGCTGAGGCTGAAGAACTGGCAGCCTTCTGATGCTCCTTCTTAAAGCCTGTCACCATCACCTGCTTGCATGTCAACTCATTGGCTGTGAAGTTGAGCCGAGTGCCCTGTTGTTCATCTTCTTGGTGAAGCATTTGAAGCTGTCAATCTTGCTCTCCCACTCCTAAAGTTTGAGTGTCACCCTGGAGGTGGGCTCAGAGCCAGGGAGAATCTGGCACTCACCATCTCATCCTTCTCAGCCTTCCTCTTGCCCTGTCTCCAGGCTGTCTCTTCAGTGCTGGTGTGGCACATCAGGAAGTGATGGAAGATGTGGCACTGTGCCTGCACCCAGAAGCTGGCCATGTGGTTCATCCACCAGATTGGGCCCTTTCTGCACTTGAACATAGAATCCTCCTCAAGAGGGCCTGTGGTCTGCCTCTTGGCACCCAAGAAGCCCACAGTGCTGTAGGAGCCCTGATGCATGGATTGGAGCCCCAAAGGCAGCGCAAACCCTGCTCCTGAGGCTGCTGCTCATTTCCTCTATGTGGCTCCATTTGCAGCACAGTTGTTGAACTGAGGCTTGTGCATGCCAGGCAAGGCCAAGTTGGCTCAAAGAGCAACCAGCCACCTCTGCAAGGGTGTACCAGGAGCAGGTGGACCAGCCACCAACCTCACTTGCTGCCAATCGGGGTAAATCAGTTATTCTGCCCTGGAGGTAGGGCCCCAGTGCCATCTGCTTTTCCTCAGGCCTCCACTTCATCAGCTGTCAGGTGGTGGTCACTCAGGGTGTGGGAACCTGGCCATCCCTGTTTCCTTGAGTGGGTGAGGTTGGTGGCTGGTCCACCTGCTCCTGGCACACCCTTGCAGAGGTGGCTGGTTGCTCTTTGAGCCAGCTTGGACTTACTTGGCATGCACAGGCCCCGGGTACTGACAAGCTGCTCCGAGTGAGCTTGTCTTGTCTTGGGCCAAATTCTAACTCTGGCCAGGGCCACAGAAGGCTGAGTCCCCTGGGTGGTAATCCTGGCTGCTGCAGGGAGGCCCATGGTGCTCCTCCCCTCCCAGGGCTCAGGATGAGGTTCAACTAGGACAGGACCCTTTAGGTATGGGACTTGTGCCCCAGGAGGGGGCCTCTGTCACACAGGTTGGGTAAGATGTATGGCATGCTGCTGGCTTCCAGGGCTGTTGGGATGACACATTCACCCTTCCCTCCAGGGACCTCAAAATGACCAGCTTCCCCTTTGAGAATGACTTCCCAAGGCCTAGGAGCCATCTGGGGCTGCAGGGCAGCTGGCTGCATGCTGCCCTGGCTTCTTCCATGTCGTGCTGGTCACTACCCACCAAGGGGGGTCAGATGCAGGCACCATGCAGGGCAGTTGTCTCTGGACCTGCGTCTTTGTTATCATGGAGCTGGACTGGGCCTGGGTGAGAGGGCCTGATGGGGTTGTCCTGGGTAATCACGGGGGTGATCAGAAAAGATGCAGAATGGAATTGCTGCGAGGATGAACGAGATGACTGTCAGCACAGAATAGGCATCCGGTGAGTGTTCAGGGATTACCCTCAGTAGCTGCTCAGAGGCCAAAACCACCCAACTGATAGCGACTGTCCCCAAGCTAGGAGCAAGAGAAGAGAGCAGGTCCCACTCACCTGAGTCTGATCAGTCAGCTGTGTTGAGATGTGCCTCTCACCTAGAAAACGGTCCTTCACGCAGAGCCACTCAGACACCACAGTGTGTCTCTAACTGCTCCACAACACAGAGGCGATGGGGGCTCAGCAACAGTGACATTGTGGGGTGACACAACCCACCACAATGGGAGCCTGCATGGGTCAACAGCGCCCAGAGTCAGTGTCCTCTATCCCCTGAACTGACATGTGTGGATGCAGTGTGTTTGTGCATGCGTGTGTGCCTGTGTGTGTGTGTGCACATATGTGTGTGTGTGTTTCTCTTGCTTCTCTGGCCAGGCCTAGCTTCTCCACTCACAGGTGCACCCAGGTCATCACCGAGGGCTCATGGCCAGCATTAGAGCTTCTACAGGTGCTCCCCAATCTCTGCCTTCCCCACCCATGGTGGTCCTGGGGATGCAGAGAGAGGAGGGGCACCAGGCACAGCAGAGAGGGCTGGGACCCCCTCTAGGTGGCACACAGGTCATGTGTAAAGTTGTAGGTCTGCCAAGTGGTGCTGGATTCAACACATCTTCTCACCTTCTCTTTCCAGCCACCCTCCAAGGTGCCCTGACTCACCTTCCCTGCAGATGGAGGCAAGGAGACTCCACAGACAAACCCCCTGCCTGAGGTCACACAGTGGCCAGCTGGCCAGGTTCCTACTGACCAGCCGCCCAGGACCAGTTTCCCACTGATGAGGCCTCTAATGACCACTCCTCCATTTACCAGTTCCCACTGACCAAGTCCCCACTGACCATGTCTTCCTAACCAGGCTCACACTTAATAGGCCTCATAGGCCAGACCTCACTGACCAATTTCCCACTGACCTGGTCCCCACTGACCAGGTTCCCACTGACAAGACCACAGTTGACCAGGTCGCTGCTCACCTGACCCCCACTAAACAATTTTCCATGGATCAGTCCCCAGCTGACCGAGCCCCCTCTGACCAGACCCTCACTGACGAGGCTCCAAGCCACTAAGGCCCCACACTGACCAGGCCCCTAGTATACTGCATAGGCCCCACCAGTTTTTCATTGTTTATGTTCCAGCCCATCAGGCCTCACTAAGAAGACCATCAGTGACCAGGTCCCCATGAACCGGGCTTCCAATGACTAGGTCACCAGGTCCCCACTGAGGAGGCCTTTACTGAGGAGGCCACCACTAACCAGGTCCCAACTGACTAGGTCCTAATGACCAGGTCATCTCTGAGCATGGTCCACTGACCAGGCCCCTGAGCAGCGTGCTCAAAGTCTCATTACAATGCCCCCCTCAGCCCACAGACCCTCCCTCCCTGTATGTGTGTCCAGAGGTCAGGCCCTGGGGTTTTTTTTGGGACATGGCTTTTCCTCCAAGACAGAGGGAGAGACAGCTGGCCTCAGGCTCCAGGTGCCCAGCTCCACACTCACCCCAAAAGCCCTCTGGGCCAATCTCAAAGGAGATAGTGAGGTGGCCTGGCACTGCCTGGACATGCCATGTAGCCTATTCCTGAGTGTCAGAGTGGGAGGAAGGCAGGGACATTTGGCAGATGAGACATCTTGTGCTGTTGGGCATCCCAGGGCCCTTCCCACAGAGTCCCGATCTACAGACACAGCACAGAGGCTACAGGAAGACTAATGCAGGACCCTTGAGGCTGAGCCAGGGACCACATGAGGACTGTGCCCAGACAGCCAGAAGGCCCTTTGCTAGTTTCTTGGTACCTCATGGATGCGGCAGCGGTTGTTCTGTTGGGGACCAGTGAGCACGTGCTGGGGAGGGCTCGCCTGTGCTTCCTCAGTGGCTCCACCTCTGCTTCTAAGAAAAATCACTCATTCCATGGCTGGAGCAGAGAAAATACAACATTAGCTTAGAACATCTTGTTCCTGAAACTAAAAAAGTGCTGACAGAGTAACGAAGACAAATAAAAAAGACAAGAAGTCAGCTTGAAATGTCTACCACTGGCCTAATCTTGGGGAATTGGAGCACCAGAATCATGAGCTTTCCCTTCTCAGTTATTTATTGGTTTTACTTCTCCAGGTACAGCAAAGAAGAGAAGAAAATAATCATCTGGCAACCATCATAGTAATAATTGTTCAAACACAAGTCATCCATGAAATGCTAAATCTAGTGGGTTCTGGGAGTAACTGGATATTTACAGAGCCTCAAAGTATCTCCCCACAAAATACGGTTCAACTACAAAAAGAAAATTGTCACATTAGCATGCACAAGCCTGGCAGGTACTCCTTAACTCCCCTAAGTAGTAAAAGCTGTAAAATGCAAAGAAGCCTTCGATGACCTTTACTAAAGTATCAATGATGACTTCGTTCTTTGGCTGTTTAAACAGCTGGCATTTGGGCAATTTGAGTACGTCAAACTCAATAATACTGGTGTTCATTTGCAAGATCCACTTAAAACTTAAGGAGGCTAAAAAACATCATTTAAATTACCCTATAAATTATCATCACACATGTGATACAAAAACATCCTACTTCAGTAAAGATTGTAATGTTATATATTTTATGAGAAACAATTAAAATGTTGTGTAAACAGCCCAGTAATAAAGTTTTATAATCTTTTAAATAATAAAATTTTTCCTTAAGACTTTATGGTTAAACATTCTCTTCATTAGATGTGGCTTACCAGTGGATTATAGAGAAGTAAGTAGACGGGAGCAAGTGTTCAACACAGCAACAACTGGAAAGAGAAAGAATTATGTTCTTTACCTAAAACACTTCAGTTAACTAAATGTGAGTTTAAATACTAAAGAGTTGAGAACTTTATCAGAGTTAGTAAGAATGAGAAATATCTATGTACATTTACAATACAAAATTACTATTAAATAATTTACACATGGCATTAATTCTATTGTGTTTAAATATTAGAGGTTTTTCATTCTTCATTCATGTAATCAACAGCCACGTGCTAAGGTACTAGAACCAGCACTGGAATTCCAAGATGAAGATGGCATGGTCCACCTCCCAATAGTCATATGCTATAACCTAAAAACACAGACAGGTAGGCAATGTCCACATAGTGTCATAGATACCATGACAGGTATACAGCAGGGCACTACTGGAACACACAAAAGGGACATCTATCCCACTTTTATGTCAATATCATGGGCTTTCTGGTGGAGGAGATAACATAGGTTGATACCTGAAGGACAAGGAAAAGCTTGCCAGATAGAGGGAAGAGGCGAAGGCAAAGAGCCTGAGGTGAGGAAGAGCCCTGCGGAGTTCTACTCTCCTCCACTTTGGTGCTAGAGCAAAGGGTAGAGTGCGGTAAGTGGCAAAAAACAAGGCTGAGTAACTTGACAAGAATCACATTGACGTGGGTGTTTTTATTTCATGGTGAAAAATTTGGAACTTTTCCTGAGAACAGATGTAAGCCAATGACACAGTATATGATAGGAGATTTAAAATGTCACCTGTCAAGTGACTGCTTATGAAGGGTTATTGCCCAGCTAAGAATTTCAAAATGAGTCTGAGGTCTGTTGGCCTTCAATCTGTACCAAAACCCTGAGAACTTGGTGATGCCTTTGTTTTCTGAGAATCGTTTCAGTGTGCTGGCTGACAGTTCCATGATGATGGCAAAACTTAAGAAAGTGTAGAGCCAGTAAAAAACAGATGCACAGACTTCTTGGGAATTTTTTAAGCTATGGAACATGATGAATTTATGGTGCATAAGTACAGTCTTCTCTGTGAAAGTTTTTGTTTTCACATCTTGCATTAGATGTGTGTAAGAAAAAAAATACTTGACATAGTATCTACTAACCAAACAATGAAAAGGAATGCCATTTGTTATTTACACTTAATTTCTAAAATAAACCTAAATGTAATTAATAAATTTTGGCAACATACTTCTCTTTGTTTCTCTAGTTATTTGTTCTACACAGTCCAGCTCCATCTAAAATAAGTAAAAATAATAATAATGTTTAAGTTAAACAAGAAACATTATCATGCAAATAATGTATCACTTACAAAATGTGACCTTTAGTATTTTTAGTGACTAGACATAACTTGAAGTTTGCTTAAATAGAAAAATAATCACATAAATAAAGTAAAATTTCTACTTATTTTAAGTTTAGATAACAGAGGATGCACCTGTGTAATGCTGTTTAGAGTAATCAGACAAAAATACAGTTAATATTGGTCTACTGCATATACATGATTTTAGAAAGGTAGTGTTTTATTAGTACAAAGGTTAAACAATGGCCAGGTGTGGTGACTCATGCCTGTAATCCCAGCACTTGGGGAGGCCAAGGCAGGCAGATCATGAGGTCAGGAGATCGAGACCATCCTGGCCAACATGGGGAAACTCTGTCTCTATTAAAAATACAAAAATTAGCTGGGCATGGTGGTGCACACTTGTAGTCCCAGCTACTCAGGAGGCTAAGGCAGGAGAATTGCTTGAAGCCAGGAGGTGGAGGTTGCAGTGAGCCAAGATTGCACCACTGCACTCCAGCCTGGTGATACAGTGAGACCTTGTCTCAAAAAAAAAAAAAAATTAAATAATTAAAGTCATCTTTTCAATGAATGCATTGCTTTGAAATTCTTAGCAAAACTCTGCCCTTTATACAAGTTTAATCCAATTTTTTTACATCAATAAATTTTATCTTAAAAAGAAATTTCTATTCTCTACTTATAGTAAACTTTTTTAATAGTAAATTTTTCTTGTTTTTTTTTTTGTTTGTTTTTTTCTAGTTTGTATTCTAAATTAAGGTGGTACCTGTGTAGGCTTCTTCCAAGAGAATATTGAGGGATGCCAAGGTTTAGAGTACAGTGGAACCCATCACACAGGTAGTAAGCATAGGACCCAATAAGTAGTTTTCCAACCCTGGCCCACTCTGTCCCTCCCTGTTCTTATTTCCCAGTGTCTATTGTTCCCAGGTTTATGACAATGTGCACCCAATGTGTAGCTCCCACATAAGTGAAAACATGAGATATTTGGTTTCTGTTTCTGTGTTAGTTTGCTTAGGATAGTGGATTCCAGCTGTATCCATGTTGCTGCAAAGGACATGATTTTGTTCTTTTCTTGGCTGCATAGTATTCCATGGTATGTATGGAACATTCCAATCTACCTTGGATTTTCAATCTGCCTTGGATGCACCTGGATTGACTCCATGTCTTTGCTGCTTTGAATAGTGCTGCAATGAACACACATGTGCAAGCATCTTTTTATTACAATGATTTATTGTCCTTTAGGTATACCCCTAGTATAGTAATGGGATTGCTGCATCCAACGGTCATCCTTAGTTCTTAATTTCCAAACTGCTCTCCATAGTAGCTGAATTAATTTACATTGCCACAAACGGTGTGTGTTCCCTTTTCTCCACTGCTTCCCCAACATCTTTTTTTTTTTCTTTTTACTTTTCAACAAAAGTTATTCTGACTGGTGTGAAATAGTATCTCACTGATGTTTTGTTTGGCACTTTTCTGATGATTAACAATGGTAAGCATTTGTTAATATGTTTGTTGGCCACTTACATGTGTTATTTTGAGAAGTGTCTGTTCACGTCCTTTGCCCATTTTTAATGGTGTTATTTATTTTTTGCTTGTTGATTTGTTTAGATCTCTTATGGATTCTGGATAATAGGCGTTTGCTGTATCCATAGTTTGTGAATATTTTCTTCCATTCTCTACGCTGTCTGTTTAATCCTGTGATAGTTTCTCATGCTGTGCAGACGCTCTTTAGCTTAATTAGATCATACTTGTCAATTTTTGTTATTCTTGCAATTGCTTTTGAGGACTTTGCCATAAATTAATTGAGAAGTATGAAGTCCAGAAGAGTATTTCCTAGGTTTTCTTCCAGGATTTTTATAGTCAGAGGATGTACTCTTATGTAAGAAAAGCACAAACCTTTTTTTTTTTTTTTTGAGACAGAGTCTCCATATAGTGCAGTGGTATGATCTTGGTTCACTGCAACCTCTGTCTCCCGGGTTCAAGTGACTCTCCCGCCTCAGCCTCCCAAGTATCTGAGATTACACATGCCTGCCAACATGCCTTGCTAATTTTTGTATTTTTAGTAGAGATGGGTTTCATCATGTTGGCCAGGCTGGTCTCAAACTCCTGACCTCAGGT
The DNA here is from genome assembly GCF_000001405.40 of Homo sapiens. Taxonomy (NCBI): domain Eukaryota; kingdom Metazoa; phylum Chordata; class Mammalia; order Primates; family Hominidae; genus Homo; species Homo sapiens. The sequence continues at coordinate 40,285,848 of NC_000009.12, read as the reverse complement.
GATCCACCTGCCTCGGCCTCCCAAAATGTTGGGATTGTAAGTGTGAGCCACGGCACCTGGCCAAGCACAAAGCTTTGAACATAAAAATGGAAATGAACATTTTAGTGTTTTGTTTAATTCATAAAATGCAATTATTTTGGATTCTACTAAATAATAAACATCTATATGTGGTAAACTGTTTGGATGCCAATCATTCAGTTGTGATTATGGGTGGGAAGAGTTGAGATGGTGCAAATAAACTTTTTTTTAAATTTTTTATATTCAAGATGAAGTCTCACCCTGTCACTCAGGCTGGAGTTCAGTGGCACGATCTCGGCTCACTGCAACCTCCGCCTCCTGGGTTCAAGCAATTCTCTGCCTCAGCCTCCCTAGTAGCTGGGATTACAGGTGCTCTCCACCACACCTGGCTAATTTTTTTTTTCTACTTTTTGTACTTTCACCATCTTGGCCAGGCTGGTCTTGAACTCCTGACATTGTGACACACCTGCCTCAGCCTCCCGAAGTGCTGGGATTACAGACATGAGCCACCACACCTGGCTGGTGCAAAGAAACTTTAAAAGTGACATGGGCTGGACGTGGTAGCTCATGCCTGTTATCCCAGCACTTTGGGAGGCTGAGGCAGGCAGATCACAAGGTCAGGAGTTTGAGAACAGCCTGGCCAATATGGTGAAACCCTGTCTCTACTAAAAATACAAACATTAGCTGGGTGTAATGGCAGGTGCCTGTAGTCTCAGCTACTTGGGAGGCTGAGGCAGGAAAATCGCTTGAACCTGGGAGGTGGAGGTTGCAGTGAGCCAAGATGGTGCCACAACACTCCAGCCTGGGCAATAGAGTGAAACACTGTCTCAATTTAAAAAAAAGGGGGGGCAGTATGAACCACAGCTAAACTATAATCAATTAGAGAGTAAGCCAAAGCATCTCAAACTATATCATCAGTTATCAGGCAATAATATGCAATTTCTAAAACCTAACTTAAATGCAGCTTTTAAAGACATTTTAAATGTGTCAGTTTAGTCACATTTATGGAATAAAGTTAGTAAACGGGTATCTCTTGAAAATGAGAGCTCCAGGGAATTAAAAAATGTAAAGTTCCCATTTCCTTTCTGTGTTAACACAGCTAATTATGATCTTTACAAAACATGCATAAGTCAACAGAATTCAGTATTTCACCAAATTAAAAACAAGAATTATATTAGAGAAATGAAACCCAAAAGAGAAATGGTCATGTAACTAACCACAGTCTAAGAGTTCTTGCAGTTATTTGAAGTCTGTGGGCTTGAAATAGGAATTCTTATGGGTGTTTGGGGAATATATTTTCTGTTGAGTCCTATACTAGTAAGATTTTCAACACAAGGTGACTCTGGGTCTCGCCTTGTAGGAAGAGCACTGAGAAAATATTTCATCTGCTCTTTCTCCATAAGGAGCTTCATGCTGATCACTGCTATTTTCTTATTTGATCTGTAAAGATAGCAAAGACACACGCTTAGTATTTCATTTTTCCTCTAATGATTCTTAATGACTTGCAGTTTTTAAAAACTTGCCCTGAGAGCAAACCAAATTATCCACTAAACAGTGTTTTCACACTGAAGATGTGTGAGAGCATACCTGTTGTAAGCAAGTATAATTTTAAAATCATTCTAAAGAAGCACCTGTGTTTCTAAGGTGATTTATACTGAACAAGCAGTACAAACAAAGTAGACAGGGAAGAGAAATGGCTATCAGTGATATATGGCTTGACAGGTAACACTTGCTGCCTTCTAAAAGGGCTCTACTTGTGAGATTCTGAAGATTCCATTAGAAATACTCATATTTAAAGGGTAACAATGTGAGAAAAGAATATGTTGATTTGCTTGATTATAAGAACCACTTCACTAGAAATAATTGTATCAAAACATCATGTTGTACTCCTTAATGTAGGTTAAGAAAACTAAAATGAACAACAACAAAAAAATTTAGGAATACTTGTGTTTAGCAAACAAATTTTAGGTTTCACCCTTGTGCATTTCACCCATTATCTAGGAACAATTAAGCATTTGGCACTGAGGAATAATTCAGAACAACAACTCCTGGGGGAGAACTAGATTGGCTGGTTGGTGATCAAAAAGAACTAAAGCATGTCTGAAGGCAATTAGCGCCCAGCACTGTGACCAAGGCACTGGAGGTGGGGCTTTTTCCTTCTGCCTTCCACACACCCCTTCAGGCTGAACAAGTTTTTTTTTTTTTATACTTTAAGTTTTAGGGTACATGTGCACAACGTGCAGGTTAGTTACATATGTATACCTGTGCCATGTTGGTGTGCTGCACCCAGTAACTCATCATTTAACATTAGGTATATCTCCAAATGTTATCCCTCCCCCATCCCCCCACCCCACGACAGGCCCCGGTGTGTGATGTTCCCCCCTTCCTGTGTCCATGTGTTCTCATTGTTCAATTCCCACCTATGAGTGAGAACATACAGTGTTTGGTTTTTTGTCCTTGCGATAGTTTGCTGAGAATGATGGTTTCCAGCTCCATCCATGTCCCTACAAAGGACATGAACTCATTATTTGTTATGGCTGCATAGTATTCCATGGTGTATATGTGCGACATTTCCTTAATCCAGTCTATCATTGTTGGATATTTGTGTTGCTTCCAAGTCTTTGCTATTGTGAATAGTGCTGCAATAAACATACGTGTGCATGTGTCTTTATAGCAGCATGGTTTATAATCCTTTGGGTATACACCCAGTAATGGGATTGCTGGGTCAAATGGTATTTCTAGTTATGTTTTAACCACTTTGTGAATTACACTTCTTTAAATTCCTTGATAATTATTCCCTATTTCACAAGGATGCCTTTCTGTAACATCTTGAAAATGTTACACAAATAGTCTTTCTTGAGGCACGCTCTAGTGATAATACTAAAGATCACAATCAAAAATGATTGTGCCCGGAGTAGCAGTACCACTTGAAACTTTGGGTTTAGGTTGTGATCTACCAAAAAATAAATTAAACTCATTAATATTTCTATTTAGGAAAATTCTGACAAGCAATTTTATAACAAGATCACATTATTAATTATAAAGCTTCGAAAGTACTTAGTGACAAAAACTAACAGATCAGGTTAACTACATGAGACTTTTCAGGGGAAAAAAGCCATACAAAAGCAAAAAAAAAAAGAGAGAGAGAGAGAAAGAAATGGGACAGAAACTATCCTTGACTAACATTTTAAAGGTAAGATTATTTACTAACATTATTTTCTGAAATTACATTATTAGATTAGCATTCACTTCCTACTAATCTCCTGAAGCCATCTCACTAAAAATTATGCTTTCAAAACAAATTAATGAGCTTAATTCATTTTCTATGAGTGTATGTTTTGACTTACTTTGTTAATTTTTTTGACATGGAATTGTTAGCTTTCAATGCTGCTGCAAAGGCTTCCTTATATTCTTCTAATTCGGTTGTAACCTCTTCATAAGCAGTTTTCATTTCTGAGAATTTACATTCCACATCTTTAAGTGTGAGTTCCTTTTTATTTAGTGAAGCCATATTATCCTTGTTTAACTGCTCTAATTGTTTTTCATATTGTGCTTGTTCCTAAAACAAAGGAAAAGAATACACTTTTAAAACAATTATAACCTAATTATTATATGTTTGTTGCCTTTCATTTTGAGTCAGTGATTCAAAGAGCAATTGTGAATATGTTAGTAAAAGAGGCTGAAGCTTAAAATATTTATCAGCAAGATCAAAACTAATAACTGAATTCAGAATTGTCTGATTTATAAAAATTTGAAATCATAATTATGTTAGTATTAATGTAATCTGGTCATATAAAAAGTAATAGAATCCATTCATAATTTTAAAAAGTGATTAATGAACAATGTAGCTTAAGACCAATTCAAAAGTATCACATAATTTTGAAATCACAATTGTTTCTTATGCCAACTGATCTTAATCATCAAATGACTCCACAGTGAGAATCATTACTCTGAAAGATTGATTTTGTTATAATAATAATGGAAATGTAAATATTTAAAAGAAAAAACAGATGCCATTTTTTTTCTAGAACTCTACAAAGCAAATTGCTACAAGAGAGGCAGAGGAAACATAATATATACATATCCAAAATATAATTTGCGGTGAAATAAATGAAAGCACATTACAGATAAACTTACCTGATTTAAAAAACTAACCTGTAAATGGATTTCTTCTAATTTTTCTACTGCCTGCACTGCCTTTTCATCTAGCTCCAATTTATATTCTTGTAGTTTACTAAGTTCTACCCTATTGTTTTCCATATGTGTCTTAAGATTTAATATTTCTTCTTTCAACATCTTTTTATCCTCCTCAAGTTTCTCACATTGCTGTTGTACTTTTTTCATAGATAAAAACTCCTGTTGAAGAACTTGATTGTCTTTAGCCAAATTGACACATTTTGAAGATAAAGCTTCCTTCTCTGCCGTAAGATCATCAAACTGCATGAATAAAATAATATAGCTTGATAATGAAGTAGGCTGAGAATAATCTAATACAAAACCAATAGCAAATTTTGAAATGCATTTACTTGCAATAAAATGTTATCCGTAATGCAGTGGATTCTTCAAATGTGAACCCTTAAATTACTCAGAATTTTAAGAACAAAGTTAAAGCTACCATGAGTCACAAAAATATATTATTTGCTATCATCATCTTTGCCACAGAACTTTTGCACTTCATCTTACTTTTATTTTTCTGATAATTCATTTTTGTTCCTCCTTAGATGGCACTAAGTTATCTCTTAGTAAAAAGTGTCTAACCACCTTCCCTCATTATCATTCCCCATAATATGTCAAAAAAAAGTTTCAGAGATATCATATTGAGTTATTTAGGCCAAAGTCAATAAATGGCTCTCAGAATAAGACTTTGAAAATAATATAACACTCTATACTAGGCATGGTGGCTCATTCCTGTAATTGTAGCAATTTAAAAGCCTGTGCCAGAATGATCACTTGAGGCCAGAATTTGAGATCAGCCAGAGCAACATAGTGAGACCCCCATGTCTACAAAATTTTTTTTTTAAATTAGCTTGGCATGGTGGCTCATGCCTCTAGACCCAGCTAGTTGGGAGACTGAGGCAAAAGGATGGCTTGTACCCAGAGTTCAGGGCTGCAGTGAATTATGACCACATCACCGCACTTCTGCCTGGATGACAGACAAAGACCATATCTCAAAAAAACACAAAATAATGAATCCTGTAAATAAGGATTCTGATGCCATAAGCCTTTCCTTAAACTGCAAATGTTTCATGCTAATTTGAATTGCATTTTACGAAGTAATGATTCTTGGGGTAAAGGCCATAGAATACACACCCAGAAATAAATCCACATATTTACAGCCAACTGATTTTGGACAAAGGTGCCAAGAACATACACTGGGGGAAGGACAGTCTCTTCAAATGAATGGCACTGGGAAAACTAAATATCCATATGGAGAAGAATGATACTAGCTTCCTATGTAACAGCACATAATGAAATAAACTCAGAATTGATTGAAGACTGACATTTAAGGCCTAAAATTATGAAACCACTCTAAGTAAATGGAGGAAAAATGCTTGAGGACATTAGTCTGCACAAAGATTTTTATGGGTAAGACATCAGAAGCATAGGCAAAAACCAAATGATAGACAAATGGTATTACATTAAGATAAAGAGCTTCTGCCCAGCAAACTGAGTGAAGAGAAAACCAGTGGAATGGGAGAAAATATTGTCAACTATTCATCTAATAAGGGACTAGTATCCAAAATATACAAGAAACTCAAAAAACTTGACAGTAAAAAAAAATCTGGGTTCAAAATTGGGCAAAATATCTAACTATACTTTTCTTTAGAAAAAAGAAATACAAATAGCCAATAAATAAATTTAAAAACGCTCAGTATCACTAATCCTCAGGGAAATAAAAATCAAATCTTCAATGTGATACAATCTTGCTTCAATTTGAATAAATTGCTATCATTGAAAAGACAAAAAAATAACATATGCTGGTGAGGTTCCAGAGAACAGTAAACTCTAACATGCTGTTGGTGGGAAGGTAAATTAGTGCAGCCACTATAGAAAACAACATGAGGTTTTCTCAAAAAGCTAATAATGGGACTGCCAAGGGATCCGGCAAACCCACTATTGGGTATTCAGGCAATAGAAAAGAAAACAATAGATCAAAAAGATACCTGTACTCGTATGTTTATTGTAGCACTATTCACAATAGCTGATGTATGGAATCAACCTGCATGTCCATAACCAAATGAATGGACAAAAAACTGTGGCACACAAACACAGTAGAATACTATTCACCGTATAAAGGAATTCAATCCTGTTATTCGTGGCCATGTGGATCAGTCTGAGGGATGGTATGTTAAGTGCAGACACAGAAAGATAAACACTGCACATTCTCACTCATATGTGGGAGCTAAAGAAAAACTGAGGGCTGGGCAACATGGCTATTGCCTGTAATTTCCTAGCACTTTGAAAGACCAAGGCAGGAGAATCACTTGAGGCCAAAGTTCCAGAGCACCCTGGACAACATAGGTAGATAGCTCTACAAAGTCAAAAATCAGACAGGTGCAATGGTGCATGCCCATAATCCTAGCTGCTCAGGAGGGTGAGGTCAGAGGATCACATGAGCCCAAGAGTTTGAGGCTGCAGTGAGCTATGATCAAGCCACTGTCTCTAGTCTGGGTGACTACAGATGCCCAGAGCCCAGACTGGACTAGCAAGGCCCTGTCTCTTAACAACAACAAAAAAGCTCACAGAGGTAGGGGAGGGGAGGATGGTTAATGGATACCGAATTACAGTTAGATAAGAGGAATGAGTTCTGGTGTTCTGTGGCATTGTAGGGTGAATATGGTTAACTATGATTTATTGTATATTTTTAAAAAGGCAGAAGATTTTGAATGTTCACAATTCAAAAAATGAAAAATGGTTGAAGTAGTAAATGTGCTAGTTAGCTCGATCATTACACACTATATACATGTATCAAAATATCACTCTATTGGCCAAAATTATGTATATACATGTCAATTAAAACAAAAGAGAAGCTATATTTATCCCATTAAAAAAACAGAATATGGGCAATCCTTACTGACTTCCTTCTAATGAATAGAATGCAGTAAAAGGGATATCATGTGGCTTCCCTATCTCAGACTGCTTTCCCTTTGAACTCAGCCCCCAGATTGTGAGTGAGATCAGGCCAGAGAGACAGCCTGGGAGTGTCAGTGTCAATATTCATGCTGCCTGCTCCAACCAAGGTTCCAGCCAATGGCCAGCATCAACCATCAAACACATGGGTGAGCAAAGCTTCAGAGGATTCCATTTCCCCAACTGATCAGCTATTCCTAGGGAAGCTGAGGGGAGCAGAGATGACCTGTCCTGGCTAAGCTTTTTTCAAACCATAGGTTCATGAACAAAATAAATGTTTTTCTTTTAAGCCACAAAAACCTGGATAATTGTTAGAAAAATAAGTTTTAAAAAGAGACAACAGGAAACATAACTTATGCAGAGAAAAGAGTCTCCTTTAAAGTAGGATCTAATAAATGTTGAGATTAATTTATTGATGGCAAACATTATTGAGAAGCAGTAGATAACCAGGAGAGAGACATAAGCTGCTGAGGAGGAACATTTCCTAAAACCCCCTTCAATTATGAACTCTGATAACAAGGCAAGGGTGTCTCCTTACAATTTCCCCTCAAGTTAGGAAATAAGACTGCAAAGAAAGAAGAAGTATGATTTGAAAAACAACTAGAAATACTTGGTTAGATAACCAAAATCAGACATTTGCCTGATTTCAGTTAATGAAAATTCTAAAAGAATAAGCTTTGAGTATTTATTAATCAATCTAGTATTCAATTTTCATTTTCCTTTTCTCAATGAGGAAATAAGGAGAACATTATGGAATGATTTTTAGTCTTCACAGAAGTAAAATAAGCACAATATGCTTTGAGTGTTAAGACATCAAATGCAATTTCTCCTTTATCTTACTTCAAGCTTGTTTGTATGGAGAAGTTAAGACCATCCCATCTCTGTATTATACCACAATGCTTCTCTACAGCACACAACTTGGCTCCGAAATTTCAAAAGTCAAAATACTAATCTACTATTTGTCTCTGATAAATTGCCTGAACATTACCTGATTTTGAAGTGCTGCACTCCTAAGACTTTTTCTTGGAATGAGTTAAACTTTATATCCCAAGAATCCTCTACTGAGCTAGAAAGCAGAGCTGTGCATCTCTGTTTCAGTAAAAGGAGGTCAATACAGGGAACTGTGGTTTCTGAGAATGCAAGATCTGCACCAAGTAAAGGATTAGATGCAGAGCTACCCAAGAGAACCAGCTACCAGGTGGAAAGAGGATCTGCGAACTACAACATGATGACTTCACATGATTTCCACTGAGGAAAGCTGGCAGCTCAGACTTCTCCTTCCTGGATGGTAAACATCTATGGAAGATTCTATGAATTATAATGAGTTAGCAAAACATAATACACTAAATATTAGACTACATCAGCAGATCCTGTGATGAAAACTTACTGAAAATATAACTATAGAGGGAGGCAATGGAAAAGAGACTAAAGGTTTGAATAGAGAAAAAAAGAAAGAGTGTCTTGTAAGCCTGACTTGCCATCATGTCTTAGAGTAAGTAAGGTATAAGCTGGCCAGAGATTCCTTTGAGGCACAAAAGGTGAAGTTAAAGATATTCCACTAAATTTAATTTTTATTATGATATAAGACAACTGGTAATATGCAACATGCTTGAAAAAATCTTCTCATTAAATTCAATTTGGCCTTGGCATAAGAATAGATATAAACAAACTAAGAATTGATAATCTACAAATAAACCTGCACATTTACAGTCAATTGATTTTATACAAGGTTAACAAAAGAACAGAATGGGAAAAGAATAGTCTTTTCAACAAATGGTGCTGCGACAACTGGATATCCACATGCAAAAAATAAATAAAGTACGAAGAAAACCCTGGCATAAATCTTTGTGACTGCATTTGGCAGTGTTTTCTTAGCTATGACTCCAAAGGAAAAATGGATTCAATGAACTTCAAAATTGAAAACTGCTGTGCTTGAGAAGACAGTATCAAGAAGTGAAAAGGTAAGATACTGAGTAGAAGAAAGTATTTGAAAAGCATGTATCTGATAAGGGACTTACATATGTAGGATATATAAAGAACCTTTGCAATTCATAAATAACAAGATAACCCAATTTAAAAAATGGGCAAAGATTTTGAATAGATATATTTGCAAAGAAGATATAAAGATGGATAATAAGCACATTAATAGATGCTTAATGTAATTAGTCATTAGGAAAAAGTAAATCAAAACCACGTGTGGTATCACTTCACACCACAGGATGAAACCTTTATTCAATAAAAAAGAGAAAATAAGTGTTAGGAAAAATGTAAAGAAATTAAAGCCCTTATCCAATGCTGCTGGGGATGTAAAGTGGTGCAGCCACTTTGGAAAACAAACTGGCAGCTCCTCAAAAGGTTAAGCATGAAGTTACCATATGACCCAGAAATTCCAGTCATGAGTATATACTCCAGAAAATCAAAAACATATGCAAGCACAAAAACTCATACGTAAATGTTTACAGCAGCATTATTAATAAGAGTGAAAAGTGGAAAGAACCAAAATGTCCATCACCTTTGGGTGGGAAAGAACCCAAAGGTCCATCACCTGGTGAATGGATAAATAAACTGTTTGATGTATCCATACAATGGAATATCACTCAGCAATAAGAAGAAACTAAGTACTGATACTGTATTAGGAGGAGACAGCAAAATGCCTAGGCAGATAAGGAAGGGTCCCCGGAGAATCCCCAACAAGCCTCACAAGTGTTTACACCAGACGTTATGTGCAGATAAGGGAACCTGGACTTGTCTTGCCTGGACATGCCGGCAGCAGACCCGAGGCCCACAAGCACTGGGGGGATGGGGTGGAGTCACCAGGAATTCACGCCTTATGCAGAGCAGGAGCCTGGCCGCTTCAGCTCCTGTGCTCCTGGTATTCAATTGTGAGGTGGAAACCTGTTTGCAGGACGCCCCTCTTTGCTGAGAGCTTTCCTTTCACTTAATAAATTCTGTCCTCCTCACCCTTCAATGTGTCTGTGTGCTTAATTTTTCCTGGTCATGAGAGAAGAAACCAGATTGAGCTGAACTAAGGAGCAAAAACCCTGCATCAATACCTGCTGCAGCACAGATGCAGCATGGAAAATTATGCTAAGTGAAATAAGCCAGTCACAGTAGACCACTTGCTTTTCATTTCAGAGGCTTATAGGCAAATCTATACAAAGAAGGTGGGTGGTTACCTAGGGCTGAGGGAGGAAGGGAAAACTAGTGAAGATAGCTAAATGATGTGGGGTTTGTTTTTAGGGTGATGAAAATGTTCTACAATTGATTGTAATGATGACTGCATAACTCTCTGAAAATACTGAAGTTAATAAATTGTATATTTTAAATGAGTGAATTGCATGGTGTGTTCATTATTTCTCAATAAACCTGTTACCCCCCACCCCAAATTAATTTGGTACTAGTGATTTTGGTAGTAGTGATCTGGAGACAGGTACTGCTTGGTTTCAGATCACTGGCCAGGGTTCAAGGCCTAAGAGAATCAACAGCATGTCCTTTTCATAGAAAAAGAGATTGATATTTTAAAAGCTATCCTTTTCATTAGTTTCAAGTCTGTAAAATTAAATGAAAAATCTTTCACTGCTTAAAGCACTGACAGATTTATATTGAGGAATAAGACCTTGTTTTCCTTGGCCCCAATTTCTATCTAAAGGGTCTGGGAATCACACCCTTCAAACTATCAAATCTCATCAGATGGGTTTTATTAACTCTTATAATGTGGCTTCCTTTCTAACCTGATTCTGGTGCAGCATCACAGAGAGAAGAAGCTGAAGGAAATCAAAATATTTTACCCCAAAATATATTTTTTGTCATATTTTGAAATGGCTGCTGCAGGGCCAAGAGATTGAAATGGTCCTCATTAATGTAGCCCAATCTCTCCCCTTCTAGGTCTTCCCAGATCTGGGGAAGATTAACTAAGAGCCTGAGGCATTCAAAGTCTGAAAAGATATATTTACCCTCTATTTTCTCAACATATTTTGGCAGAATTTGGGTTTTTCCATTATCAATATTTTCCAAAATTACATGATTTTTAATACCAAAACTGATTTAAAATTACCATACGTTGGAATATAAATTATTCTATTATAAAGATACATGCATTTGTATGTTCATTGCAGCACTATTCACAACAGTAAAGCCATGGAATCAACCCAGATGTCCATCAGTGATAGACGGGATAAAGAAAATGTGGTACATATACACCATGGAATACTATGGAGCCATAAAAATGAATGAGATCATGCTTTTTGCAGGGATATGGATGAGCTCAAAGCTGATATCTTCAGCAAACTAATGCAGGAAGAAAAAAACAAACACTGCATCTTCTCACTTAGAAGTGAGAGCTGAATGATGAGAACACATGGACTCGGGGAGGGGAACAACAAACACTGGGGCCTATTAGGATCAGGAGGGAGAGCATCAAGATCAATAGCTAATGCCTGCAGGGCTTAATATCTAGGTGATGGATTGATAGGTGCAGCAAACCAACATGACACACGTTTACCTATATAACAAACCTGCACGTCTCACACATGTAATCTAGACCTTAAGATAAAATAATTTTTTTAAATTACCTTCTGTTTTAGCTTCTTAATCAGAATATCCATTTTCAGTTGATCTGTTTTTAAGTCTCCATGGCAATCAAAGTCTTCATTTCCAAATACATTTAACATATTTATTGTCATTTCCAGGAGTTTCTTATATCTGCAGAAATGTACAGAATTAGTAAGTCAAGTATTTTTAAGAGTAAATATTTAATAATTGTTTAAACATCTGTTATGGCATATCAAAGAAACAAATCTATAAACTATGTTACTTTCAGTTTCAACTGAACATAGTTTGAAAGCATTCTATATGAAATTATAATCTTAGATAAATAATATGAAGAACAATTTTATGGCATATATGGCAGGTAAAGTGATATTATAGCCATACAGTGTTTTTGTTTTGTTTTTTGTTTTGTTTTGAGATGGAATTTCACTCTTGTTGCCCAGGCCAAAGTGCAGTGGTGTGGTCTCAGCTCACTGCAACCTCTGCCTCCTGGACTCAAGTGATTCACCTGTCTCAGCCTCCCAAGTGGCTGGGATTACAGGTGTGTACCACCACGCCTGGCTCATTTTGTATTTTTAGTAGAGACGGGGTTTCACTGGTCAGACTGGTCTTGAACTCTTGACCTCAAATGATCCACCCACATTGGCCTCCCAAAGTGCTGGGATTACAGGTGTGAGCCACCACACCTGGCCTAACCATACACTTTTTGTAAATAAACTACTGATATCCATGTTGGTATGCTAAGTAAAATAACGTATTACTAAATATAAGCCATAACCCAGAGATGAGTAACCAAGATAAAAAAGTAAAACACATACATTTAAAAAGACACAAAAGTACATTTTGATACCCACTGACCACAGTCTATCAGAAGAAAAAAAAGTACACACAAAAAGCATCAAGGAGATCATTCAATGTAGAAAAAGAGAAGAAAACATCTTTAATATCTGAGTTGAGGAGAAAAAGGATACAGGCAGTTTTAGAAAAAAGGAAAGGGGCAGAGAGATGTGTGACGATTTAAAGACTTTGAAGAAGAGATCTAGACATCTTTGCTGACATAATGTCAACAAAATGAAAGAGATACAAAACCATGTAGAGAAAAGCAATGACAGAAAAATGTTGATTCTAATCAGAAAACCAAATTAAGTGCTCAGTAAATAAATAGAAAAGTAGCTGTGTTCAGGGTTTCAAAGACAGATTCCATTGTTTTAAAAAAAATCTGTGATCAAAACATGAATGTTCATTTTACTTTTTCTTTAAGTTATACGTATATTTTTATATATATGAAATTTATTTATGTAAAACAAGTTTAATAACATGTATACTTCATGTATACAACAGAGGTACTCATGTACAATGAGTAAATTTCCACGTTTTATATCTAAAAGAAAAAGCAGAAACAAAATATAAGCTACATATCAAGATAAATTTGATGTTAAAGAATGACACAAACAGGTCTTCTTTAAACAATTTGAATGCAGCAGAGGATACTACAAAAGGAAGAAAAAATGACCACAGACAGCAAAAAATATCTTCAGAAATAAAAATTCAAACCAGATAATGAAGAGTGCACTGGACATTATATGTCCAAGGCGTGGTCATTGTTTTCAAAATCATTAAAGAATAAGTGGCTGGGCATGGTGGCTCATGTCACTTTGGGAGGCCGAAGCGGGCAGATCACGAGGTCAGGAATTCGAGACCAGCCTGACCAACTTGGCAAAACCCCGTCTCTAATAAAAATACAAAAATTAGCCGGGTGTGGTGGCACATGCCTGTAATGCCAGCTACTCAGGAGGCTGAGGCAGGAAAATTGCTTGGAGGCATAGGTTGCAGTGAGCCAAGACCGCGCCATTGTACTCCAGTCTGGGAAACAAAGCCAGACTTTTTCTCAAAAAAAAAAAAAAAAAAAAAAAGAATATTTTGGCATTCAAAAAAAATTTCACCTTGCCCCAGCAGCTCAGCTGACTCCCACCCCCATGACACACGTCTAAAAAGTTGTGCTGTGAGTTTCTGAAATACATTTTAAAACAGAATTCATTTAATTATGAAAATGCAAACATAAAATGAATTTGTATCTAGGTTTTAGTCAAGTAAAATTAGAGTTAAATCAATTAATAAATGGCTAACATGTTCTACAATATGAAAACCATACCCAGTTGCCTCTTCTTCTAATTCATCATTTTTCTTTCTTATTCGATTCACATTATACTTCAGTGATGATATTAACTCAAAAAGTTTTCTTAATTCTTCATTTTCTTTTTTAGGCTTAAAAAAAGTGTTTAAAATTATTTTTGTAAAATCTGGAGACCCTCTTTTATCTCAAAAATATTATTTCTCATAAGTGGATTAGTAATACGTATTTATGCAGGTGTATAAAGTGTATTTTATAAACCTGATGCCAATAAGGTCAGATTTCAATAATAGTCACTTTTCTTAAAACTGCTAAAAATGATTCAAATTTTCATCATTATCTTTTCTGAAATTTAAACTGCCAACAATGTTTGTTACAAATGAGGGTTTTTACACACAAAATACTAAGGGTTAGTTAAAAAAAAAAAGAGTAGTTATATTTACATTTTAGTTTTTAAAGATGCTCTAGAAATATTGTTTTTAACAGTTTAAGATATTCCAAGTTCTCTTAAATTACATCTTACTAAGACAAATTTTAGAAAACTCTTATCTAGTTCCCATTACATTTTTCATCCTCATCTGTCTTCAGGCTGAGCTAAATACTGTCATTCTAAGTATTCACCCACAGGTTTCAGTTTTTCCCTTTCTCTTAACCATTTCTCTTTAAATAAAGTTTATTTTTTTCTACAATAAACAAAAACAACTTTCGTCTACTTTTTGTGGCTTTTCTATTATCCTGTTTCTCCCCTTCCATTGGACTCTATGACACATGGTTTCATTCAGAAATCTTTTTTCATCAATTATTGTGTTTTTTATATTGAAATCTGATTTTTAATAATTCCAATAAAAAAGTCCAACGGTCATGAAGGACTTTATCCTGCTTTACTCAGCAGAGCAGTGACCAAATGCTCCCTCTGCTCCTCTGACCCCACTTCCTTTCTAAATGCAGTGACCTCTGTTCTTCAGCCCTATCCCTTTCTATTCCTCTGACCCCGCCTCCTTTCTAAATGCAGCAACCTCTGTTCTTCAGCCCTATCCTTTTCTGGTTTTTTGTTTTGTTTTTGTTTTTTGTTTTGAGATGGAGTCTCCCACTGTCACCCAGGTTGGAGTGCAGTGGCATGATCTCGGCTCACCACAACCTCCACCTCCTGGATTCAAGCGATTCTCCTGCCTCAGCCTCCCAAGTAGCTAGGATTACAGGCATGTGCTACCACACCCAGCTAATTTTTTGTATTCTTAGTAGAGACGGGGTTTCACTATGTTGGTCAGACTGGTCTTGAACTCCTGACCTCATGATCTGCCTGCCTTGGCCTCCCAAAGTGCTGGGATTATGGGTGTGGCCACCACGCCCGGTGGCTATTTCGCTTTTTAAATTCTCTCAGGACTCCTAAAATCTCAAAACTTTGACCTAGATTCCCTAATCTACATTTCCAGCTCTGACCTTTTTCTTGAGGTCTCTTCCTTCTAGTACACATATTATAGACAATATTCTCCACCACATGCTCATACATTGCTACTTGGTGCAGATTACTTTTGTAGATAGTGAATCTTGTCTATTTTATGTTGGTTCTTATTGATGTTACTTTGAGTATACTGTTATTTTCTAATCTCAAAGGGGGACTATCTCACTGTTACGATACTAACCAGTATACTTTGTCCTTTTTTTCATTCTTTCTTCTTTTTTGGACCAATATACTTTGTCCTTTTCTTTTTTTGAGATGGAGTCACACTGTGTCATCCAGGCTGGAGTGCAGTGGTGCCATCTCAGCTTACTGCAACTTCTACCTCCTGGGTTCAAGTGATTCTCCTGCCTCTGCCTGGCAAGTAGCTGGGACTACAGGTGCACACCACCACGCCTGGCTAATTTTTGTATTTTCAGTAGAGACAGGGTTTCACCATGTTGGGTTGGCCAGGCTGTTTTTGAACTCCTGACCTCAGGTAATCCACCCCTCTCAGCCTCCCAAAGTGTTGGGATTACAGATGTGAGCCATGGAACCCAGCCCTCTTTTTCTTTGATAATGAAAACTTTCCCATGAGAATCAGATTATCAATTGTTTGCCTTTGTTTTCTTTTAAATAATTTCCTTTTCCATAGAGATATGGCATGATGAACATCTTGTTCTAAAGTTCCTTTTGGGGGACACTCAACTATGTCATCGGGAAGCTTCAGTAAGTAGAGATCTCCCTTCTTCCCATTCAAGATTCTTCATCTCAAAATGGTGTCTACCAAATGTCTTAATCCAGGTAGTCCCTTGCTTAGAAATTCATGAAATAAGAACCTTCTGGAGAAGTTAGAGGCTATTGATTGAGATGGTTTAAAGCTGCCCCTTATTATGTGTTTTACTCCCAAGGCAGACATCAAAGCGGCTAATAATTCTATGCCTGATGTCTAACTCACTTCTATGGGAATCTATACAACATGATTTATTTATGAGACAGAGTCTCCCTCTGCTACCTAGGCTGGAGTGCAGTGGCTTGATCACTGCTCACTGCAGCCTCAATATTCCAAGCTCAAACAACCCTCCTACCACAGCCTCCCAATGTAGCTGGGACTACAGGCATGCACCACCATGCCTCAGCTAAGTGTTTAAAAAAATTTTTTTTTTTTTTTTTAGAGACAGAGTCTCACTATATTGCTCTGGCTGGTCTCAAACTCCTGGGCTCAAGCAATCCTCCTGCCTCAGCCTTCCAAAACCAGGTGTTTAAATGGGGACTAACATGAAGCACTTAGAAGACTACATGGAACATAGTGAGCTACATAAAATATTTGCTATTAGCATAATAATTTTATTGTATATCTTAACAAAATTGTGTATTTACGCAGGTGGCATGCCAATGGAAGTAGTCTCCTATAGCTGCACTGAATCATTCTTAACACTGAGAGTTGCAGCAAATGGGGGACATAATTTATAACTTACTTTTCTCTCTGTATGACTCATTAGGCAATGACTGTGTATGTACTACAATGTAAATAGCACCTCCTGGATGGAATAGTACGTAACTGACATGACCAGCAGAGACAGGCTAAAGACACTGAGCTGAAAACCCTGGACTCTATTGCTAAGTCAAGGCTCCTGAATCCGTTCCCTCTGAGCAACTGTTGCTGTGGTGCTGCCTTCACAAGCACTCTGCTGAGCACTCAGATTGAGGGGCTGTGCTATCCTTCATCAGACAAGCTGCACCCAGAACTGTTCAGCTGACAGACTGGGAGCAGTCCAGAAACACAGTAATGGCTGCATAGTGAAAAAAGGCCAATTTATATTCTTTTTCATAGAGAGAAAAACATAAACACGTGATTGAACGCATCTCCTGTGTTAGACTAATTGGGTTAGATTTGATATTTAATTGCTAAAAATATATTTAGAATATAACCTTACTGTGTCAAGGTCTCAAAGAAGAAATAATTGGTATGGTATAAATGATTGAATTGTATGCTACAAACTTCTAAGCTAAAATATTTTCAATGTATGCAAGGATAGGTGGCATACACATTATATATTATTCCCCCATTAAGCAAATTTATAATGAGAGAAAATTATCTTCCATAAAAAAATAAAAGCCATGTAAAATTAAGGACTAAGTTTTTCAGCACAGACTAGACAACGATTGCTAACACATAAGGTCAATGACAGAACAGTCAGAGAAAGCTTCATGAAAACAAAAAAATTGTCTGCCAGGTCTGAATGAATGAGGCTAGATGAACAGAAACTGAGAAGGCAGAAAGAATAGCATGAGCAAGACAAGTGCTGAAATCTGCCCAATTAACTCTGAGGATAAAGTCCAATGGCAGGGAAATAAAAACCCGTGTCCACATAATAACCTGTAAGTGAATGTTCACAGCAGCATTTTTCATAATAGCTAAAAAGTGGAAACTAACCTAAAGGTCCATCAACTGATGAACGAATGGAAAACCAGTATAGCCATGGAATAGAATATCATTTAACTATAAGAAGAAATAAACTACGAATGTGTGCTAAAACATGCATGAATTCTGAAAACATTATGCTAAGTGAAAAAGCCAGTCACAAAGGACTACATATTGTATAACTCTATGTATATGAAATATGCAGAACAGGCAAACATATGGAGACAAAAGTAGACGGTGGTTGCCTACAACAGGGGTAGGTGGAGGGACATGGAGGAAGGCTGCAGTCATGCCTAGGAGATGTGGGGTCACTTTTCAGGGTGACGAAAATGCTGTGAACATACTAATAGACACTGAGTTGTACATTTTAAATGGTTGAACTGTCTGATATGTGAATGACATCTCAGTGAATCTTTTTAAAATCCAAAGGCAGGATCAAGATAATTTTCTCAACTCTTAATTTTTGATGTACATGCTATATCAAATCTAAATATTTCTACAGTTTTACAGTATATTTTAAATAAAAGATAAAGAAAATGCCTAACTTTTCAAATAGTTTGTAAATTAACCTAAAACATGCACATTTCAAAGAATAGTATAATGGCCTTTCTGTACAAGTTAACCTAGAATCTGTGAAACAAATAGACACAGATTCTGTGTCCATTCACAAAAGTGAAGAAATAAGACAATTTTCTGGAACATTCCATGAAACATTCTCCTCTGATTTAATCTGGCTTGCCTCATCAGAGCAATACACAAATTACTTAAAAATACTGTTTAACAGGAAAAAAGTCAATTTTCTATGAGGAATGATGTATAATTCTCAACTTTTCCAAGGGTACATATTGTAAGAGAAAAGGTATGCAATGGTTTTTCAAAATGGTATAATGAAAGTCACAATATAAAAAAATAGTACATTATAAAGATAGTAAAATGGAAATCATTCATTATAATGAAAATAAAAAATCAAGCTTCTGCCAAAATTAGTATCCTAAAACACGTTATATAATTCAACTAGCTACAGAATAACTGTTGACATGTTAAATTCCATACATACTTGACTTTTCACTTGAAATAATTTCTTATTTGAGGCCTGTGTCTCATCCAAATTAATGTGACAACGTGATATACCTTCCAGTGGAGACTCTAACGTCGTTAATTTTTTTACGCTGTCAGCCACTTCTTGTTGAAGTTGTCTCACAACCACCTGATAAAATATTTGTTACTGATTTTATAAACTGCCTTATTAAATTATGTTAATAATGTTTAATTCTAACATATCTACTTTGAAAATTATCACCACACATATCAATTCACCTTCTTTTAATCACATGTACACATTTTTATTTATTACTGAATTCAGTGAGGGATGCAGAATATGTTCTCTTCCTGCCAAATTGGTATTCTCTTACTTACACAACAGATTCATTCCAACATTCAATCATCTCAGAAGCTCAACTCAGCCTCAAAGTTCCTAACATATTCAATCACCTGTTCAAATCCTTCCAACAGATTCCTATCTCAGAATAAAAGTAAAATTCCAATGGCCTTTGAGGCCCTAGGTAAAAAGGCCTCTACCTCCCTCTCTGACTTCAAAGCTCCTACAACTCCCTCCTGTAATTACTCCATTCCCACTGTATGTGAAGCCTGCCACCCCTCAGTCTGAAAATGGAGATGTAGTGCCTAACTCGTAAATCACAGACAGCTACAAGTATCTTTGTACTGAACAAAATTATATTCCAATGACAGTCATTGAGCCTTGCAATAAAAATTATGAGCTAATTATTAATATAAATATTCAAAGTAAACTATAAATACCAGTGGGAAAACTAAACCAAATATAGTTTTGCTAAGTTTTACCACATTTATCCTAAATTATGATTTTATAACAAGTAGGTGCCTTTAAAACATTACATGGTCATAAAAACACGTAATTTGACATATTTTCAGATTTGTTAATATGAATAATAACAAAGCTATACCAACTAAAATACATAAAAAGCTAGTTAAAGCAAGGTATTACAAGACACAGCAATACACTTCAATTCATCTGGGGAATCTAGAATTAAGTGTCGAAGAAAATCACTTAATTAAATTTTAATTTGAAAATACTCACTTCAGGTGTAAACATTTCCATTTATAACTACATTATGGTCTTAACATGTGGCAACATAAAGACATTAAAATTACTATTTCAGCAATACAGAACTATCTACCTTAAAATATGACTCTGTGCCTAATAAAATTTCATAGGTGACACAATGTCTTTTCTCAAAGTAAATCATCTCTCACCTCTATCTTTTATTTCCTAGAAATGAGGCATGTTTCTAAGCCGATATAGTAAACACATTTTTCCTTTTTTTATTAAAACAGCTTTGTTGAAATATAATTTACATACTATAGAATGTATCTGTTTTAAGTTAAAAGATTTTTAGTACATTTACTGAGTTGTGCAGCCATCTCTACAATCCAACTTTAGAGCATTTCCATCACTGTAAGATTCCTCATGCCCATTAGCAGTCACTACCAGCTTCCAGCCCCAGCCCCTTGCAAACATGAATCTACTTTTTGTCCCTATACATTTATCTTTTCTGGATGCTTCATGTAAATGGAATTATACAGTATGGTAAACACACTTTTAATCTAGATTTTTATATTCAACTAAGTTCAACATGTATCCAGAACCAAATGTTTAAATTTTCTTTCTAGAAGTTTGAAAATATTTATCTTCCTTGATACTTACTACTCCTTCTGTTTTCTCTCTCTCATACTGAAAGAGACTTTCTTTTAAATGATCACATTCATTCATTAGCTTCTTACTTTTCTCTTCTAGCACGAGGTCTTTCTTTCCACTCTCAATAAAGCCTCTTTGGATATTAGTTACTATCTCTTTATGATCCTCTTTCTGATGAACGTCATCTAGTTGCTGTACAAGCCACGCATTTTCACGTTGGAGGTGACATATCCTCTCTTCTACACAGTTCCACTTTCCAGTGGAATTATTCACTTTAGCTTCTGCATTTTGATACATCTCTTTCATTTCCTGTGTTTGCTGCTGTGTTTGGCTTAGGTCGTTTTGTACAGTTTCTAAAGCCAATGACTTTTTTCTGAGACTATCTCTTGTCTTACGGAACTTATCTTTTAAGGCATTGAATTTAATTTGTGTTTCAGAAAGTTGTTCAGTAAGAAACTCATTCTCATCTTTTACTTTGGAAATAGCAGAACTCATTTCTACTTGTACAGAAACATCTCGTGTTCTCTCTAAAGCAAGTTTTAGGTTTCTTTCTGTTTTCACACTTTCACTGTGTTTGCTTATAGCAGCAGCCAGTCTAGACTGATAAGATTCAATGTCAGCTTCCAGTCTTTTCTTGCTTTCTTTTTCCTTCAACAGTTCGGCATTGAGCCTTGTATTCTCAGCCTTGAGATCATTAAGCTCTTGTTGATACCGGAATGCTGTTTCTGTTATCATTTCCTCATTGAGTTTTATATACTTTTCAAGGGCAGCATTTGTTTCTTTAACAATTTTAATGTCCTTAAGATATTTATTTTCTTTTTCCAAGTTGTCATTTTTCATTGTACATATTTCCTGTCTGAGTATAGCAATATCTGCCTTCAAAATGCAATTTTCATCCATCAGACCTTTCATTTCTTCATGATTATGAAAATCCTAAATAAAACAAAAGAAAGTTTTAGCTAGTACTCAATAAAATAACATATCATGATTACCTCTGAAGTTAAAGAATAACCTGCACATCCGTACCACTAAAAAGTTTACCATAAGTGGATATCCACCTGGAGAAAAAGTTGAAGCAAAACTTTGAACCTTATAGAGCATAAATTCCAGAAAGTTCAGAAATGTATTTAGAGTCAATGAATTTATAAAAGTAAACACACACACACACACACCAGAGAATTTTTAAGAATATCAGAATTGGAAAAGCCTTTCCCTGAATTACAACAAACTCAAAAGCATAAATTAAAGCATTAACAAATTTGACTAAATTAAGATATATCAAAAAATTGCATTTACACTTTGATACCTAACCCATACACCACCCTATAGTAAGAACTTTTGTTCACACATATTTGGACAGATAAAATTTCCCAGAGTTATTACAGTTCTGTTTCACTGATAACATTCTATTTCAGTTTGACTCTTTTAACACTTTTATAGTCAGTTATAAGAATTACATTCACTAAATCATAAACTAGACATTATACTAGTCACTCCTATATACATTCATTGATGAACTCATCTAGTTACCATAATTTTGAAAAAGAAATGTTAAAAATATAAGCAAGCTACAGGATTTTCCCCAGGACTTCTGACTCTACTTCTAGTTCTCCAACAGATCACAGTTACTTCTGTGGTGTAAATACATCAATACGAAAGAAAACTTTTATTTCAAAACGCCAATAGTAAATAAGATAAAATTTATAGAGCTCTTCTTAGAATATCATGAGATTATTTGCGATTGCAATAATTTCTGTTTCCTCTTTATAATATTAGGTGCAGTAATCAATATGAAATAGGGGAAAGTACAAGGAAAAATTTTACCTGGAACAAAATTTTTATCAATAGGTTATCACTAAGTATAAATTATGGCATATTATTGTTTTCAAAAGCTCTTTGTAATAAAATAATATCCTATGTGGATGCCAAGATTTATAATAAATATTAATAATTGTACCTGTAAGTGTCATCATTCATTTTTAAAAATGAGATAACATTTATGGTTTTAGACCTAAACAATATATATTAAATCAAGTGGATATTATAAGTAACAGTGATAAGATAAAGTTTAAAATATAGAATTTTTACCAAAGATTGATTTACCCGATTTGGAGTATTTCTTGCAGTCTTTGATTTCATCTCTAGTGACTGAACAGTTGGTTCAAGTTGTTTTGCTTCAACTTCTTTCTTATATTGTTTCTCTTTCCTTTCTAATTCTTCTCTATTTTTTTTGTACAGCATATTAACATTTGTTTTTTCTTCATTTTCTTGTTTTAAGGTGCATCTGCAGATAAAGACATTTGTCTTAAAATTCATTTTGTTAAAAAATAAGGAGTTCATCCTGTTATCTACCTCTGCAGATGTTGTTTATTATCCTAATAAAATTTCTATGTTCTGGATTATTTTTCCTTTGCAGTTCTCAGATATTTAATTTCTCACTTCAACATCTTCAAATGAATGCATATACTTGAAAAGTAGTAAGGAAAGAATATTCTGCTAAAGTTTTTGTTACTAGTCACTCTAATATATATTATAAAAAAGGATACCAGAGATAATTCAGTAAAGTTACAGGTTCAAAATTACCTTTTTAAATCACACAGTCATAATTACTCCCTAATTAGAAAAGATCATTTACAATCAACTAAATTTTTAAAGTTACTATTTATTGACAAGCGTATAAGTTCACTAGAAATAAATTTTCATCTTTATGAAATATTGCAGGTGTTTCTCCAAATGATTTACAGAGTGAGATGACACCTTCAGATGTCTCTCACACAAACTATATCTGCAGATGACTGTCATCCAAAACTAGGCTAAAAAGTCTAACATCTGTTTCCCCACACTTTTTATATTTCTTTCTTAATACTTTCAATTCACCTTCTTATTACATATATTTTATATATTCATTAACCTATTGTTCATTATGTGTAATATATAATTAATGCATGTTAATTATATATTAATAAGTGTGTGTATGTTTACACCAGTTATGTTTTCCTGTGAAATCTAGCCCCAGAAGTGGAGTTGTTGAGTTAAAGGGATGTCAGGCTATTTGAAATTTTGATACACAGCACTAAGTTACCCTTCAGAAATAATTTACTAATTTCCTATACCAACAGTGTATGAGAATGCCTTTTTCCTCACATTTGCCAACACTAATAATTACTTTTTAAATATCAGCATGACTTTACAAAATATATCTTATTTTATGTTAATTTGCTTTTTTCTGAATACCAGGCAGGGCTAAATACCCCTGGTAAAAATATAAAACTTGTTAATCATAAGGAATATTAGTCCAATTTTCAATTAGTTTATAGCACAATGACAATTATCTCCTGTGAAATACTGCTATAGGCAGCCAGGCACGGTGGCTCGCTCCTGTAAACCCAGCACTTTGGGAGGCCGAGGTGGGCAGAACACGTGAAGTCAGGAGTTCGAGACGAGCTTGGCTAACATGGTGAAATCCTATTTTTACTAAAAATACAAAAAATTAGCCGGGCATGGTGGCACATGCCTGTAATCCCAGCTACTAGGGAGACTGAGTCAGAAGAATCGCTTGAACCCAGGAGGCAGAGGTTGCAGTGAGCTGAGATCACACCATTGAACTCCAGCTTGGGCAGCAAGAGAGAAACTCCATCTCAAAAAAACAAAAACAAACAAAAAAAACCCAAAACCAAACAAACAAACAAAAAAACACTGCTATAGGCTTACCTATCATGCTCTTCCTTCAGCTTCTTGGGAAATTGCTGAGGATACGTTTTCCCAATCTTTCTTTGTTGGGTTAATCTGCCAGCAGCAGCAGAAGATGTACTATCACATATATTTTCTGAAAGTTGTATTTTTTCACTTTTGTTTGTATTATTTCCTTCTTTGACCTTTAATAAAAGATGAATAATAATTGTTATTATTTTATTCAATAAAAAGAACTTTTTCCCTGATTTTTATTACTTGATTCAGGTTAACTATCACCACTTTAATGATAAAAGTATTTTGTGCTTACTTTAATTTTATCATTATACATAATTATTATAATTATAAGATACTCTTATTTTATCATCGAAATTTTTGTCAAATCTGCTCATTTCTGTTTGAGGGAATAGAAGAATTTTCCAAAATTTCAAAAAGGGCTCTTCTCCATTTTGTGCTTTTATTCCCATCCACTCTTTGCTATCTGGTATAAATTTTTATGCTATCTGGCTGGCAGAAACAGAGAAATAAAAAGACACAGGCATAATATATGTCTTCTGTCTTTACTACCTGGATTTTACATGAAATAGCCAGATTAAGAAGATGTGACCTTGTAGGCCTTCAGGAACAGTAAAGAAGTTTTCCCTTTTCTGTACTGAGCTACTCTTTTCCCCACTGCCTTTTATCTCTCTCTTTTTTTTTTTTTGAATCCTGTGATATCAAAAAAGTAAAGGTTCTCTTTGAATTATGGGAACCAACGTTTGCCACAACAAAAGAAGCAGAGTGAAACTGCTGAGTTTCTAGTGCAGAATTCTGGAAAATGAGATGCTTCCCAGATTTCACATTCAATTACCACAAAAGTTTATAGGTGGAAAACATATGGTACAGTTACCTACTTTAACCCCATTATCTACTGATAATGGGAGTCAAACCAACCAAGACATATTAAATGTTTCATCCAGAGCTCTTGAGGTGGCATTCACTAGCATTTCATGGCACCATATAACATGATACAATTCCATATTGCTGAATTACATAAATTACCAGATAAATTTATCAAATTAGATATATTAAAAGTCTAACTTGAGCAAAGCAATTTAATGCCTCAGAGGGTGGAAAAAGGCCTCATCTGCTTTTACTTTGAAAGAAGAAAATCTCTAGATTTTTGTCTATCTTTAGAACACAATGTACAGAACTCAACTTTCT
Source organism: Homo sapiens (assembly GCF_000001405.40). Lineage (NCBI taxonomy): Eukaryota > Metazoa > Chordata > Mammalia > Primates > Hominidae > Homo > Homo sapiens. Next base: position 40,260,530 of record NC_000009.12, on the reverse strand, counting down.
ACTAAAGAGTCAAAGGCTAAATTTTTGGCTAAGAAATTATGCTTCTTATATGATAAAAATCATACATGCCAAAACTTACCATACTTTATTAAACAACATAACGTAAGGTCTGATTCAACAGAAATATTGCAGAGTGGTGATTTTTTAAAATATGTGTAAGTATATGTTTGTTTTCAAAAATATTGGAAATAACCATGATGGGACTGTAAGTTCAAACAGTTTGAGCTAAGCAGATAAACTTGCATGCATGAAAACACATTAAACAGACTCATTTGGCTGGGAATATTCGTTGCAACTCTCAAGGCTAGACGTGTTTTTGTGGCTTGTCTCAGTCATTGCTTCCCTCCCATTGTATTCCCATTCTATCATTAAATAAATGTAAATTATCTCTAAATGAATACAAGAAAAAAGAATCTAGAATCTAGAGCTTGTTTCTTTAGCAATTTCTTTATGTTGATCTGGTTCAGAAGGTCACATGGTATGTGGCTTAATTAGTTTCCCAGCTCATACGCCACTTGGAAGACTGATAGTGAGACATAGGTTGATTAATGAACAAACATTATGAGAACATTCTCCAGAACCATTATTCAGATAGCAGAACTAATCTACTTTGACACATAATTACACATTTAGATAACCCCACTGTAACTGTACACATGAGATTTTCTTGAATAGAAAATTTGACTAAATCAAATAATTGATAAAGAGGAAAAAGAAGCAGCAAGTGAACCTCTGTCTTTTTGAAGTTGGACTTGCTTTTCTCCAAAGCCAGGAACTCAACTTGTAACATGCCTACCTCATTCTTTTTTTAATTATTATTATACTTTAAGTTCTGGTACATGTGCACAACATGCAGGTTTGTTACATATCTATTCATGTGCCATGTTGGTGACCTTGGAATATCTTCCCATAAGTCTTCTAGCTATATTTTTGATGTTCTCTCACTATGTGGTAAAGAATAACTCACATTTTATAATTCAAGATTCATGCTTCTGTAGTTGTTAGCACTGGGATTGCCATATAGTGGCTGCTGGAATAAACGCTGTATTGGTTTTCTGTTTTTATAAGTATCTGTAGCAGCAGAAATACTGTGGCTTTCTATCTGAATCATATGCTTCATTTCTTTGGGGTGGGTAAACAACAAATCAAAAAGACTTTCTGGATCTCTAGACTGAGGCCAATGCCTAATGTCCAATTTCCAATTAGTGGTATCTGGGTTTACATTTTTTGCCATTTGCATGTCAAACTCTTAATCATCTTTCATTTCAATCATAATTACTGGGTTCCTTAATTTTTTGGTTTCAGTATCATTACAAAAATTTTCATCATCTGTGTTAGAAACAAGCTATGTGTCTGGTTTGCTATCATTTTTATAGTCTGATTTATTTTCATTTAAATGAAGCTTAGAAGATGACTGGTAACTGTATTTCAGGGACCTGGAGTATGAATGGAATAAAAAGACATTTGACATGGGCTTCCTCTGTTCAGGCGCTGCCTGGAATGCCACAGAGTTAGACCCTCCAGATGCATCTTCCTCCTCACAATCAGGGACCTGATTCATCAGATTAGAGGGCACTCCTTTTTTGTTCGTCCCTCTTTAGAGTTACTATGTAGGAGCTCTTCCTCAGGGCAAGCAGTAATTCTGGAGTTTTCAAAACTTTCACCAATATTCAGCTTGAACTTGTTTGTAATGAATTTTAAAGAAAGTCGTGAATATACAGACAGATTATTCCCTTTATCACAATTCTTACCCAGTTCTGGTTCTTGAGACTTTTTTTTTTTTTGGCAGGTGCAAAATGGAAAACAAATTTGCTTGTTTTGTTTCTCAGATGCCTTTTCTGTCAGAGTGCATGTTTTAAAATTAGCTTTAATCAAGTATAAACAAAAATACTAGAAAATAATTAAAATTTAACTGTGAAACTTAATCTATGTGTTGCCACTCTTAAATTATGGGATTGTAACTAAAAAGTGAAAAATAATTTGCCTTGGCTTAACATAGGACAGAAATATGAACTGGCAAGCTGAACGCTTAGCATTTGTTTGGATTAAACTTAATGCATTATGTGTAAAATCTACCAGAAATGAATTCAAAGCTGATAGGTAGTATTATAAAATCTTCCTCTCTTACAAAGATTTTACCTCAGCATACCAGAAAAAGTGAGCCCCTACAGTACGTGTATATTTCTGAAGATTAACTACAGACTAGGCAAACACTGAATTATTAAGAGCCAAACTGAACACCAATAAGAAAGGGAAGCAAAAATTTAAATTCTAATTCAAATAATATACTATGATAGTGTTATGTATCTAGATGGATTATCTGCTTATATCCACTTCTAATATATTTTAAGTTCCACTAGTGATAGTGGATGGATTTTTTAAATTTTAGTAACATTTACTATGTATTTATGTCAAAATAAAGTTATTGTTTGTACCCTGACACCAAAGGTCCCATTCCACAAGGTAGGATTCTCTTAATAGGCAACTGGGTTGACTTTTATGACCCCACTCACTCCCTGAACACAGACACAGAAGTCAAATGGTGACCACAAAACAGAATAAATCTTTAACCTCGGCACTGGTGACCAGCAATATAAAACTGCAACATTTGAACCATTGGCAATGATGACTCCTTTAACACTAGTTTAACTCAGTGGCCATCATTGTTAAATTGTTCACAATTTCTATTCCTTAATAATATGACCCAATATTTCATGTTACCTTCTGTATTATGAGTAAGGTTATAACAATAAAAGAGCAAGATAATTCTGAAAATGTCTTGCCTCAATTCCAAGGGTAAAGACAGCTATGAGTTACTAGAGATAGTAAGAATTACCAGAATAACTAATAGTTACTAGAGATAGTAAGAATATCTTAAGTTTCATAACTGGTTAAGATGTTTTAAAAATTAAATATAAAATTATGATCTATCGGATTCTAAAGGTATAGTCTAAAAGGTCATGTCATTTGGACTATGCTTTGTTACTGAAGCAAAAAAACAAAACCCAATATTAAACAAGAAACTTGAATTTTCATATACCTGTGGTTGCTTCTTTTCACTTCTTTCATGCCTTTCTTGCTCTTCCTCTGAAGCCACTGGTAAGGCTTGTTCTGTTGACAAATTCATTGGTTTAGTTCAAATGAACTAAGAACAGTTAGATAAAGACTATAATCTATATAAAAATAAATAGAGAATAACATTTCTTTGTATTTTATATTTTGAGAGTTTCAATGAAGCTTAATGTTTACTGAAATATTTAGTTCTTTAAGAAATACTTCTAATCATCCAAAATTTCAACAAACCACTTGGGGAGACATTAGATATCACCAGGTTCAAGCCATATGAAATCTCAGGGTCACTCACAAATTGTTCCACCCAACATAAATCAACAAAACTGTTAGAAACAAAACAAAATTTTGAAATACAGTCAAAATATACAATGTAACACTTTACTATACTTCATAACAGTATCTTTTTAACAAGACACTAATTGAGTTGGCAGTTACTAATAATTTGCAAAATTATTGTTGTTTATACCTTAATTAGTGTGCACCCCATTTTTTACATCGCAAATGTTTTCCCCTACTATTCTGAAAAATTTATTTTCATCTTTTAAGACTCAGAAAGTAGGCTGGGCATAATAGCTCACATCTGTAATCCCAGCACTTTGGAAGGCCAAAATGGGGGAACTGCTCAAGGCCAGGAGTTTAAGACCAGCCTGGGAACCATAGATAACCTTGACTCTACAAAAAATTGGACAGGTATGGTGATATGTGCTTGTAGTCCCAGCTACTCAAGAAGCTTAGGTGAGAAGATCCCTCGAGCCCAGGAGTTTGAGGTTGCAGTGAGTCTCGATCACACCATTGCACTCCACCCTGGGTAATAGAGTAAGAACTTGTCTCCAACAACAGAAAAAGAAAAAAAAAGGCTCAGAATGCTGTGTGAAGTCTTCCTTGATTCTAGCTGTCTTTCTCCACACACACAGGTGTCTGCTTCATTGGAGTTCCTTAGTACTTTGTCAACTTTTCCAGCGTCACTTTACCACCTGAACTGCACATCATGTCTTTACATGTTGATCCCCTTTGCTGTTAGACTGTAGAGGACAATCTTTTGAATCATCTTTGTATAAACAGTCTTAATTTTGCTAAATAATTACTTATTGAGTTCCTGCTAAGTGTTAGGCACTGGGGTATAAGGAAGGAAAATAAAAGCTGTCAGGGATGGCTTTCCTAAAGATCATGCATGAGCTGAGACTTAGAGAGTAAGGTTAGCCAGATTAAGTGAGGCAGAGGGCAGGAAAGGGTGAGCACATGCCAGGCAGCAACAAGAGAGGGAGAGAAGCCTCCAAGAGAGTATGTATTTCTCTGCAAAAGAGGAATGGTGAGGGGGCCATTACCAGCAGCTCAGTAATTCCAGAGAAAAAGGCAGATGGGGAAAGGGCTACAGATGGAGATTTGGGCAGAAATCAGTTTCCTTTTCTTTTCTTTTTTTTGGGACAAGGTCTTACTCTGTCTCCCAGACTGGAGTGCAGTGGCATGATCTTGGCTCACTGCAACCCGGCCTCCCAGGTTCAAGTAATTCTCCTGCCTCAGCCTCCCAAGTAGCTGAGATTACAGGCATGTGCCATTACCACCTGCTAATTTTTGTATTCTATTAGAGATGGGGTTTCACCTTGTTGGCCAGGCTGGTCTTGAACTCCTGACCTCAAATGATCCACCTGCCTCAGCGTCCCAAAGTGCTGGGATTATAGACACGAGCCACCATGCCCAACCCAGAAATCAGTTTCTGAAATCCTTATATAAAACTTTAAGATGCTTGGACATAGGTATTCAGGAGTGGTTCACAGATCTATTTGCATTAGAGATAATTAACTCTAATTATTGTGAGGAGCATAAAATTCTGAGGCATATAAATCAATGAACAAAGATAAAATATAAGGCAGTGTTGCAAAGATGATGCAGGCCTGAGGAGATGTTTTCAGAAATATTTAGGACATAAGTATCAGTGGCCATTGTAAGCATGAATTTTTATTGAATGAATAAATGTATATATCTGGGTCCCTGGAGAAATACACTCTGCTCATTACTTTACAAATTTTATCAAATGAGAAGTAAAATAATATACATAAACTGTTTCAGTTACTTGTATTTACTTTACACTTTTTCTGTTTCAGTTTTACTGTGCCAAGGAAATGCATTTGGGTTTTGTGGTGGTTGTTGCTGTTGCTGTTGTTGTTGTTGTTGTTGTTGTTGTTGAGATGGAGTTTCACTCTTGCTGCCCAGGCTGAAGTGCAGTGGTGCAATCTCAGCTCACCGCAACTGCTGCCTCCCAGGTTCAAGTGATTCTCCTGCCTCAGCCTCCCGAGTAGCTAGAATTACAGGTATGTGCCACCATGCCCAGCTAATTTTGTGTTTTTAGTAGAGATGTGTTTCTCCATGTTGGTCAGGCTGGTCTCAAACTCCCAACCTCAGGTTATCTGCCCGCCTCAGCCTCCCAAAGTGCTGGGATTACAGGCACGAGCCACCGCGCCCAGCCACATATGGGGATTTTGTTTTAAAAGTTCTGTTTCCTGGATCTACCAAGCTCATGAGAAAATAGAAGCAAACAAGTCATTTGCATAGGTAAGAAACTTTGGATTTATACTTTGTCATCACTACTCTAGAAGATTATCATCATGTTTTGTAAAATAAAATGTTAATTCTAGACATAAGGGGAAAGAGAAATTAAAACTATAGGGGTGAAAAAATATTGCATAATTTATTACTGTTGACCTGACCATATGACTGATTAAGGGCACTGAATTTAACTTGTATGTGAAGTAGACCCCATATTAGCTGCAGTTAATCAATAGACCAGGTATTCTAGCAGAATTAAATTTGATGCTCCTGTGTTATCTTTAAATGATACAGCTCTTCTGAAAACCCATACTCATAGTGCATGATTATCCATTAAGACAAGGTGATGGAATGTGTGAATACAGCTCAGGAGACACCACAAGGCAAATGCTCAATGGTTCCCATTAATATTGGGGAAATCAACATTATAATACAGAAAACCATAGGCATTATTTAATATTTGGTTTTGGAAGGTATTTTTAGTGACACTGCATAGAGTTGTACCTAATAATTGCAAAATTACAGATGTAAAAATAAAACAAAGGCACATTGTGTTTGAGTAGGAAATCTGTAGACGTCTAGCTGGTTTTCTATTCCAGGCCCAAAATTCTAAATATAATCATGGTACCCGCACACAAATTTATGTTAAATACCAACTTCAATGAAATTACTCTTTCTCCTCATTCTCTTTGTTATTTATATGTTGCTTTCCTTAAGGGAAGAATACAAATGCCTTGCTAAGAAGCATTTTGTTTGGTTGTAGGCTGCATAAAGGGAGTAAACACAAAGTACATTTGACCACAAAATGACTTTTTAAAAGCCAGAACTATGGTAGCATGAAGCCAACTGAGGTAATCTAGAATAAAATTTTCTATGTTTGTTTCCCTTCTTTGCTCTCTTTCTACTCTAATAACTGCGATTCACAGAGGTAATGAAGAGTATAATTCCCTGATAAAAACACAGCTCCAAGATTAATCCTTTCTTTAACTATGAAGTTCGTGTGTCCAAAGTCTTGTAGTTGCTGATTTTTGATCACGAATGGTGATACAGATATTTATCATCAACTCACAACTTCCCAAATCTTTGAAAAGTCTTACTATTGATGGTTCAACTAGTAGAAACATAATCTAAAATATCTGAAAATAAAGTTTTTATTAGAATGTAAATAGTAATACAAATTGTAATAAGGTGTAAAAGTTCTTTCTTCACTGAAGCAGGACCATGATGTCCTCTACCCCACAAACACACTACTCCCTCATGGTCTAATGTATCTTAAAAGTCCTGTAATTTCTATTAACTCAGACAAGTTTACTTAACTTGTTCTAAGCTTCTGTTATTTACTACAATTTACTTTATCACTCAACAATCTCTATTATATATGTTGTTTTCCATGAGAAATTTTTTTATTAATAATTAGGATTCTTCAGGGATAAGAAAATATTTGAATAACTAAGTTTGTGCATAAACACATTAAGGTCAAATACCCATGACAATATTGTGTGTTTCTCTGTACTAGAGACAAAAACTTCAAAAAAATTTTTAATGAATATACATTAAAAACTGCTTTCATTAAACTGAGATGATCTTCCCTCAATGCATGAATACCTTCAGAATTCACATAGACCAAAGAATTGTATAAAATATAATAGCCTTAAAAATCTTATTTGTACCTGGCACAGTGGCTCCTGCCTGTAATCCCAGCATACTGGCAAGCTGAGGCAGGCAGATCACCTGAGATCAGGAGTTTGAGAGCAGCCTGGCCAACATGGTGAAACCCCATCTCTACTAAAAATAGAGAATTTAGCAGGGTATGGTAGCACATGCAGGTAGTATCAGCTACTCGAGGGCCTGAGGCAGGAGAATTGCTTGAACCCGAGAGGCAGAGGTGGTAATGAGTCAAGACCGAGCCACTGCACTGCAGCCTTGGTGACAGAGCAAGACTCTGTCTCAAAAACACAAACAAACAAACAAAACACCTAATTGTTCCCACATAAGTCTATATTCACACAAGATCTGAAGAGTACACAACACCGTGAGACAGGACAGACATAAATTTTAAAAGTTATATTCCCAGTTTCTGTAAAAATAAAACGGTTGAATTTAAGCTTTTAAGACAAGTCAAGGAAAAGAGCAAAAAATGCAAAAGTGAAACTTGAAAGGTCATTTTCCCATCAAGGGCTCATGATCCACTGGACATTCACAAACTATATTGTTCAAAACATTACTTCTGAATTTTGATCTGAGTATCCCTGGAGTTGCAGTTTCATTCAAAGATGTCCAAGAGGTCAAATAAGACAATATCATTTGCTATTTTCAGTTTTCTTTTCTGAGAACAGCACAACAAACTTCTTCAGAGAAATGAATTGTCCTAACTTCATAGGCTAAAGGCTCATGAGTCACAGTTCTAAGGGCATTTATAAAATATGGTGGTGCATGCTTGTATTCTGAACTTTTCAACTTTAAACTCTCATATAGTAAATATTAATAGATACAAACTGATTAAAGAAAAGCCCACTTAATCTGACATTATTTTTATTTTTCTTTCTTTCTTCATTTATCAGCAACAGGAGAGTCTAACTAAATGTGGTAAAGTGGTATAAGGGAATACAATGAAAAGTGTAAAATGAATTAAACCAGAGATAATCATATCAATGTGGATATATCTGGAAAATATAATACAAAATACACCAAAGAAAGTGGCAGAAAGGTATGTAAAGTGTATAACCACTCACATACCATTTTGGGACACAAATAAAAAATTCTGCATATTATTTCTGAGCATCACAATATAGTTAAAGATTTCAAAAGGGCATTGAAATGAAAAACAACCAACTTATGATGTCGGTAGCCTCTATGCAATCATGTTTTAAAAACCTTAACACCAAAAAGTCTCAAAATCACCATTTTAAAAGACTGTGTCTACCAGTTATAAATGAATCATTACTTTCCTCATTTTTAATAGTCAAAGATGCCACAAACACACACATACACACAGCTATATATACACCTACACACACAGTCTTGCTCATTAGAACATCTGATTGGCTTCAGATCATCAGTGTAATAACACTAGCAGCAAGCCTCTAAAGTTAAAACAGAATCTGACATGTTAATAAGTAAAGCTTTCCTCTAGGTAAAGTTCAGAACTCCAAGTAGCACTTAACTCATTGGAAATATCTTAGAGTCTCAAAATTCACTGCTTTGAATCCCTGACAGGTATAAAAATTTTATACTGAAAACTTCATGCTATTCAAAACATTAAAAGAGAAACATCTGAGTTAAAGGTTACATTTTTAAAATCTTTTTTATGCTTCTAAATTTATTTTTATTCAAATATGGATACCAACAATAACATTTATGTCAATGCCTTCCATTCAATTTTGAACAAATAGAATTAGGAATAAGAATAATGTGAGTACTTCCAATCATTGAATGTACTTATTTCCAGTATTCCATTAAATGTACCTGCTCTCAATGTCTGTACATTCTTTCTTTGTACTGCTCCTTTCACAGCAGGATCTTCTACTTCAGTGCTAGGCTGAATGGGTTTTAAAAGAAAATGATTCATAAATCATATATATTTTATACAACATGGAGTTAGTGATTCAAAAATATACATAATTAATTACCTTCAAGGAAGGATGTTTTGCAGGAGGCCCTACAAAGCAAAGGGGATATGTCATCAATTATATGTAAGTATGACAGGGCCAACCAAACATTCATGCAGTGGTACTATCGAGCTGAATTCTCATGCCTGGCTATAAAAATAATTACTTAAGGTTTTGAGGGTTCTTCTTGGCATCTTTTCATTGCCTAGGACGGCAACATGACAGAAACATAATGAGGAAAATAGGAATATAGGATTCCTAAAATGCACAGTTTACATTTCAGTAGTGAGATTATGTTTCAAATGCCTATACCTAAAATAGAAAAGCATGGATATCACCGTGAACATGTGGACTGATGAGGAGAAAAGGGACCATTAAACAGAGGAGCAAATCAAACCTGAGGGAATCGACGTCAAAGCTGATGGTGAATGTACAGAGTATTTTAACTCAACACAGCAGAGGCATTGCTGCCAGCATGCCACAAACAAATTCCCCTTGTCTTGTCACTGAGGAAATACACAGTTGGGATGACAGTTCAGGTGAATGTGTGATTCACCTCTCATCAAAGAAAGTGTTCTACATTGATCAGCTAGTATACACACTTATGAAATGACAGCTAATCAAACTACTCATTTTTCCCATGATCACATGGGCTACTGCAGCACCTACATTTCTCCTATCCCCTCATTTGGCCTTGAGTTAGAGCTCCTTGATCCACTCATGCAAGGATCACATAAAATAAACCATGTCGAATAAGCTTCCGATATCAAAATATTTATCAAAAAAGAAAACACTGAATTACCACAGACTTGCTGGATATGAATACATATTTATATTTCAAAATCAGTGCAGTATTTATTGAAAAAGAGAATTTTGGTATTCACAGAATGAATTTTGTAATATCAAAAAAAATTAGCCAAAGCATCTATATGCAACTTAATCACATCTTATTCACTCATGTCAGTGAAACTTCTCTCTCTGAGGCCTGACAGTTATCAAGTGAAATGAGCTGCTGTGGTTTACCCCAACTCTAGCACTCCCTCCTGCCTCCAGTACTCTCCACAGCAATAACCTCTTTTGTGAGACTGGGCATATGCTGAAGCAACTGGAAGTGAGTTGTCTCAAGTTTACTTGGCTTCAACTCCCAAGACCCCAGCAAATGTCTTTCTTTCCTCCCTCCGTGTCCTTTCACAATCCCTCTTCCTTTGAAACAGTGATTTTTAGAACTGTCATCCTGATGCTTCCCTTCCTAACTGCTTTTTATGGATAATTGTGACCACTTTTTTCATCTGTATTCAGCAGTAGTATACACCTGTAATCTCTCTGTTTTCATCTCATTCTCCTTCCCCTGTGGCTAGAATCATGCTCAGAAATAAAAGGAAATTAATGCTTTCCCTGGATTCTGTTATTTTTTAAATTGCTCTCCAATGGTTCTTTTTCCAGAGTTCTCTAAAGGAAGGCTATTCCCTTGCTATTCAGAGCTGTGTCCAAGGACCAGCACCAAAAATCACCTGAGTACTCATGAGAAATGCAGACTCCCATACCTGCTGAATCAGAATGTGCACCTTCCAGAAGCTCTTCAACTCATTCATGACAATTTGAATGCCCTGTTCTACACTGATGTGCTTCCATATTGGTTTCCCCTAATTGCCCTTTTGGCCTAGCCTCAATTTCTTCCCTATTATGTCCCTCAATTTAATACTACATTATAAGCCATAATGTTTCTAATGAACTTTTAATCAGGCAATAACTTCTTGAATTAATTTCTTCTCCATAAATCACCCAACACTATTCAATTATGTTAATTTGGCCTATATGATACTATCCTATGAGGTTACAACATTTTCTATAAAAACAAATTATAGCCATACATGGCTGACCATCTTTGGTGATGTTCATCTATGGTAGATAAAACACAGGTCTGTGTGGTGAGGTGCCTCAATCCTTAATGCCTCCCCAGTAGCGAGGATGACAGCAAGAGAAGGAAAATGTTACTGTAATTCTCTGACACATTTTGGTACTGGAAGCTCACTTTATCTTCTTTCCTGTTTCTAACACCATGTTCTTCCTTCTTCTACAGATCAATTTGCCTTTACTATCCTCTCTTACTTACCTCTGCATATGCTTTTTTATTTATTCCATGTACAATCCGCTCTCCTCATTCTTTCTTTCTCTTTATTCATTTCCTCTTCCCTCTCTCCTGACTTGCCTCAGGTCTTAGAGTATCTTAAAATGGAACTCACAATTCAGCTCCTTTAGTGGTACTCCCAATAGAATCAACTGCTGACCCTTGGTTAGAGACACAACTTATCACCATTTCACTTCTCCTTTACTTATTATACAGTTAATAGGACACTTTCTTTAGCTATTACACTCTATTAGTGCTCATATTTTCAAAGAAACATTCCATCAAATGACTTTTTTTGTTTTGTTTTTTCTGAGACGGAGTCTCGCTCTGTCGCCCAGGGTGGAATGCAGTGGTGGTATCTCCGCTCACTGCAAGCTCCGCCTCCCGGGTTCAAGCCATTCTCCTGCCTCAGCCTCCTGAGTAGCTGGGACTACAGGCGCCCACAACACCACCTGGCTAGTTTTTTGTATTTTTAGTAGAGATGGGGTTTCACCATGTTATCCAGGATGGTCTGGATCTCCTGACCTCGTGATCCGCCCGCCTCGGCCTCCCAAAGTGCTGGGATTACAGGCGTGAGCCACCGCACCCGGCCTCCATCAAAAGACTTTTTAAATAAAATACGGTTCTCACCTTCTCCTTGTCCATTGACTATTCTGTTTCCTTTTTCATGCGAAGATCCAGGTAAAGGCTCTGACACTTTCTCGGGGACACACTGCTAAGGTAATATCAAGAATTAGTTTCCATTTTAAAATTATAATGAGTTGCATCAAGAGTTTCTTATCAATCTCTTTTTATGAAACTGGGTCTCACTCTGTCAACCCAGGGCTAGAATGCAGGGGCCTGATTATGGCTCACTGTTGTCTCAAACTCCTGACCTCAAGCAATCTTCCCACCTCAACTTCCTGAATAGCTGGAACTACAGGTGCGTCCCTTCATGCCATGCTAATGTTTTTATTGTTATCTTTGCAGAGACAAGGCCTCATTATACTGCCCAGGCTGGTCTCAAACTCCTGAGCTCAAGTAAATCTTCCACTTCTGCCCCCCAAAGTGTTGAGATAAGCAGTGTGCACCACCACACCCAGCCCTAATCAATTTCTTTAAATCAATCTCAATGTTGCCCAGGCATGGTGGCTCACACCTGTAATCTCAGCCCTTTGCAAGGCCAAGGTGGGTGGATTGCTTGAGTTCAGGAGTTTGAGACCAGCCTGGGCAACATAATGAGAACACATCTCTACTCAAAAAATACCAAAAGGAGTCAGGCATGATGGTGTGCGCCTGTAGTCCCAGCTGCTTGGGAAGCTGATGTGGGAGGATCACTTGAGCCTGAGAGGTGGATACTGCAGTGAGCCAAGATCATGCCACTACACTGCAGCATGGGCAACAGAGCAAGACCCTGACTCCCCAAAAATTTCAATTTAAAATATGAGAATGAAGAGAGATACAAACAAAAAACAAGCCTAATTGGTCAATGAAATATGAGCTTAAGCCAAGAAAGAAAAGAGACAACATGAAGTACAATAAAGTACATGGGGAAATAGATCTATAACAGAGCCTTTTGCTCTTTCATATCCCTGATAATACTAATTAATATTTATGCTACAATTAGTTTTTTGTAAGTACTTCTGTGATATAGTTTATTACTATAAGACATTCAATTAGCTAAATATGGTCATCGACCACTACCTGAAAGAACATTATTATAACACAGAGAGAAAACTAGAACTTTCAATCAACTTTCCACCCAGAAAAAAATTGGTCACCAGAATTCTAAAGAGTAACGTATGGCAGACACATGAAAAAATGCTCATCATCACTGGCCATCAGAGAAATGCAAATCAAAACCACAATGAGATACCATCTCACACCAGTTACAATGACGATCATTAAAAAGTCAGGAACCCACAGGTGCTGGAGAGGATGTGGAGAAATAGGAGTACTTTTACACTGTTGGTGGGACTGTAAACTAGTTCATCCTTTGAGGAAGACAGTATGGTGATTCCTCAAGGATCTAGAACTAGAAATACCATTTGACCCAGCCATCCCATTACTGGGTATATACCCAAAGGATTATAAGTCATGCTGCTATAAAGACACATGCACACGTATGTTTATTGCGGCACTATTTACAATAGCAAAGACTTGGAACCAACCCAAATGTCCATCAATGATAGACTGGATTAAGACAATGTGGCACATATACACCATGGAATACTATGCAGCCATAAAAAAGGATGAGTTCATGTCCTTTGTAGGGACATGGATGAAGCTGGAAACCATCATTCTGAGCAAACTATCGCAAGGACAAAAAACCAAACACTGCATGTTCTCACTCATAGGTGGAAATTGAACAATGAGAACACTTGGACACAGGATGGGGAACATCACACACTGGGGCCTGTCGTGGGGCGGACAAGGGGGGAGGGATAGCATTAGGAGATATACCTAATGTAAATGATGAGTTAATGGGTGCAGCACACCAACATGGCACGTGTATACACATGTAACAAACCCACACATTGTGCACATGTACCCTAGAACTTACAGTATAAGAATAATAAAGAGTAATGTATGGCTTGAAAACGTATATTTAATAGAACATGAGTTAGAGCTAATAAAAAGCTTAAGAAATGTTAATCTAAAATCTCAATGTTAAGATTCCAGTTGAATGATACTAGAAAATATATTGTAACCCTATTTTCTACTGATGACCTATTTCTATTTTATTTCCTTTTTAATTATGGCATAATTTCTCAACATAACATATCAAAACTTATACACCCTTAAATATTAAAAAATACAATGTAAGCAATATTTTAAATACAATATTTAATTATTAGATACATTAGGTTTATTATATTACTTATAACATTCCATTATATAAAAATTCATTTGTCTATTTATTCAGATTAAACAACTATTAAGGCTGAATGTCTTATGCCTGTAACCCAGCACTTTGAGAGGCTGAGGCAGGCAGAACACTTGAGCCCAACAGTTAAAGACCAGCCTGGGCAACAAGGCAAAACCCTGTCTCTACAAAACTCAGCTGAGCATGGTGACACAGGTCTATGGTGACATAGCTCTATTGTTTAAACTACTTGGATGGCTGAGGTGTGAGGATCACCTGAGCCCAGGAAATGGAGATTGGAGTGAGCCAAGATCTCACCAGTGCCCTCCAGCCTGGGGGACAGAGTGAAACCCCATCTCAAAAAACAACAACTAAAATGCTTCTTACATGGAAGACTGTATTCTAGGTACTCCAGGATACACACAAATATGTTTACTGACCTCCAGTAGCTTACGGTATGCAGGAGCTTCCAATGATTATTTAAACAACTAAATAGAAAACCTTCTGAAATTCAAAATTTCAGAATATGATATGAGGACTTTGAGTGGCTATTTTATTTTTTAAGATGTAGTCTTGCTCTGTCACCCAGGCTGGAGTGCAATGGTGCGATCTTGGCTCACTGCAACCTCCGCCTCCCGGGTTCAAGCGATTCTCCCACCTTGGCCTCCTGAGCAGCTGGGGTTACAGGCATGCACCATCACGCCTGGTTAATTTTTCTGCTTTTGTTTTGTTTTGTTTTGTTTTGGTTTTGGTTTTTTTTAGAGACAGGGTTTCACCACGTTGGCCAGGCTGATCTTGAACTCCTGACCTCAGGTGATCTACCGACCTCGGCCTCCAAAACTGCTGGGATTACAGGTGAGTCTCCACACCTGGTGAAGTAAATATTTTAAATAAACTACAATGACAAAATTATGAGGATAAAGTCTTACCATCCATTGGTATTAAGAGTCTCTGCTTCTAGAACTGGTTATTTGCAGCAAAATACATGTTATTCAATTAGATGAAGTGCCTTATATAAACTCTTCATGGACAACTCATAAACCACACAAAAATTCCTTTGCAATACACATTTTGAGAACATAAATTTAAATTTCTATATTTCCACAATTTATATTTTTAAATCAGATACGATGTTGCCCAGGCTGTTCTCAAACTCCTGGGTTCAAGCAATCTTCCTGCCTCAAATTCCCAAGTAGCAGGGACTACAGGTGTACACCACCACACTCAGTTATTTTTCTACAATTTTTATTTTTTTTTTGTCTCACTACAGAACCAATAATATAAGTAGAAAAACAATCTCTCGTAAAAACAATATGATACCAAAATAATAAGTTTCCAAGAACAAAAGCTATATGCTATGTGCTGAATATTCTTGCCACTAAAAATCACCAGGAGGATCCCATGATTACTGCAAATAATTTGATCCACTGAAGATTTATACAGGCATAAATATTAAGAAAGTCACACTCGTATGATTTAAAAGTCAAAGTATTAGTATTTATCCAAATAAACCTTAAGCAAATTTCATATTTCCTCTATTGGAGAAAGCATTTCCTAATGTGATTTTCCTGTCACTACTAATTTTCCAGTTCATTTTTTTTCAGCTCCCACCCTGTCACAGTACTTATCAATCTTTGTTAGTTACCAAAGTTAAACACATTTTTTGAATCAACTAGCCATATGTATGTTTTTCTCTGACCAACTTTCCATTACCACCATAAAACAATGATAGGTAAACCACTGCTAAATTTGAAAAGTAAATACTATGCAAAAGTACATTCAGAGTGAGAAAATTAATTTTACAAGAGACCACTTTACCTTAGTAGCAACATTCAAGTCTTTGTCATCCGATGCAGGCAATGAATCCACACGCAGTTCATGGAAAATGCTTGAGAGCAAAAACACACAACGAAAATGAGCAAGTTGATTTCTTTACAATTTTTTTAACTGCCAGTTTATATCCAGCTTCCCCCTCAAAAAAGGAAACCATAATCTAGGGAAAGGTCAGCAATCTATATATTAAATAGTGATTCTTGATATAATTAAAATATGTCCTCTTCTAAAAATAGATTTTAGTTACCTATTTCTGCCTCCACTTGTCTAAATCTATAAAATATTCAATGAAAACTAACCTTGAGCTTTATAACAAATAGTGACAGTCAATAAATTGGCAGAGCCTGACAATGATTTGCCCTCACAAATTATCTGTCCTGAAGCTGAACTTAAAATTCAATTAATGGATGACATAAATTTTGTTACCTAAACTGGAAGAAAACTAATAACCTAAAACAAGGTAGAAAGATCCACTGTCTCTTTTCCATGATCTGTCTCTGGATAAAAGACTAATCTGCATCACTTCAATATGGCAGTCTTGATTCCTCAGCATGGAACCCACTTAGGAAGGTCCTATTGCTTTCCTTTGCCCTAAATCAGTACAGGAAAGCCCCTACAATATTTGAAATGTATGAAAGCTAAATGTACAGAAGTCAAATAACAAAGGTGTATGTTCTTATTGAGAATACTTTTCCCAGAAAGATTGAAATATTAACAATTATAAAATCCCATTATTTTCACCCTATAGGTCCTACCTTATTCAGGTCCACATAAACTAGCAAGCCCTTAAAACTTTTCATAGGCACTCAGACACCCAAGGAGAGAGACTGTCAGAAAAAAACAGAGTCCTGGTAGGTGTACCTCTATTTCCCTAAGTACTCTCTAAGTATCTGTCTTCCTATGGGCTCCCACTTCCAGATTCCACTTCTGCAGGGCTCCACAGAAGTCTCCAATCTTTAAATCTTCAGTCTATGAAAGCACAGATTCCTGAAAGGATGGCCTCAAATGACCAGGACTAGGAGCTCTCTATATCCCTGCTCCTGAAAAACAAGCTAACTGGAGTCTCCATCACCTGCCCCCAGCTAGACACACTACCAACTACCCAACTGAACTCCATGACTGATTTGCCAGCCAATCATGCCCCTGAACCAGCCCACATGGACATGGGAAGGACATCAGTGAATCGGGAAAAGAGGCAGAGGTGAGGAGACACCTGTACTGGGCCACAGATCTATGTAGTTCAGCAATCTCCAGCCCCTTAGTACTCCAGGGGCTCTAAGCCACCCCTTTCTAAGTCAGGATGGAAGTAGATGACACCACATTTCTATCTGCTGCAGACGCTCCTCCCAGTGTCTCAAAATGTTTTAGCATCTTTCAGTAAAAATCTTCAAGTTTGTCAGTCCTTGATTTAAAAAAAAGCAGCAAACTTTTTAGAGCTCCCTTGAACCTTCTATTTTAATGTGCCTTCGTAGATAATTCCCAACATCTTGTGTCCTTCATTTTTATAATTTATCTTTATCAAACTTGTCATAAACCCCAATATTTTGATCTCTTATAGAAGAGTCTGTACTCCTATCCAATCCAGTGTTGTTTATCTTCAAACTTGGACTTCCCCTGCTCATTCCATTCTTATCTACTTCCATTGGGTTCCCCAGCTAATTCCATTCTCATTCTACCCACAGACTCACTCCCGTTTGTATTATTAAAACACACGCCAATAGGATATAAAAAGAAGCAAGAGTACTGGGCTTTAACATGAGTTCAAATCTCATTTCTGCCAATTCCTATGTCTAAAAAAAAGCATCCTAAACTCTTTGAGCCTCACATTCTCTATCTAGAGAATCATTTGACCAGAATGTTCAACACAGGTAAAAATACTAGAAGGTATTTTAATTCATTCCAAGATTCCTTAAAATTCTGTAATTCTATGTCCTCTTGATTCTGTCTATAGAAAAACTTAGAATACATAGCCAGCAGAGTTTGAAAAAATAATAGAACAAAAGAAATACCAAGAAAAGCAGAGAAGAAAGTTTTAAAAAATGAAGGCAAGATTATAGAAAAGTCACGGAAAAAGCAACAAGACTAAAAAATGTATTATGGAAGTAAGCAGAAATACTTGCCTAAATGGAAAACCAAACTGGGAAGTCAAATAATTTGTCTCTAAGACTTGCCTAAACTTGCTTTTGTAAAACTTACACCCCTATGGCAAAGCTAAGTAAGATCTGCCCTAGAGCCTTTGATGGTAAAAATAAGATACTGGTTACCACTGAAATTGTCAAATTTATTAGGACAAACTCTTGGACTAACCACATTCTAATGATAAACTTAAATGAGAGTTCAAGGTATTTAAACTCTCATTAATTTAGACATTAATCAAATTAATCAATCTGACTAATCTGATTCAGACCTATACCTTGATCCAAGGGCTGCACAGATATCTGTCAATCTATGCTGAGGAGCAAGAGACAGGATTTGGAAGGCAGGCAGGCTGATGGTCAAACTGTAGGCCAGCTACTTTGTTAACTATGGGATCATGAGGCAATTAATCAGCTCTAATCCATAGTTGTTTATTTAATAAACAGTAGGTTATAGGAACACAGATGTTGTGATGGCTTTATGAGATGATAAACGCATAGAACATATTAGGATGTCTAGCCCAGAATACAACACTCAACAGATATTCGTTTCTTCCATCTATATTTTCTTAGTTAACATAATTTTTTAAATCTATAAAATCCTACCTGACTGCAGATTCATCAGAACTTCCAACATCTATTAAAGAAAAAGGTAAAATGCATTTTAAATCAATAACAAATGTACAGAATATTAAAAGCATAAGAATGCACAGTGATGCATCCCTCTAATCCAAACTACTTGGGAGGCTGAGGCAGGAGGATCACTTGAGGAGCCCAGAAGTTTGAGACCAGCTTGGGAAACATAGTAAGACTCTACCTTCATAAAAAAATTGTGCACACTTGTATGTATGCTTTAGATCCTGTTTTTTGTTGTTGTTGT
Organism: Homo sapiens; assembly: GCF_000001405.40. NCBI lineage: Eukaryota > Metazoa > Chordata > Mammalia > Primates > Hominidae > Homo > Homo sapiens. The sequence goes on along the minus strand of NC_000009.12, from coordinate 40,241,485 downwards.
TTTTGTTTTGTTTTGGTTTGGTTTTTTAAAGCATAAGACTGATGCTTTGTTACAAAGCATTCCTTTGGGAGCATGCCTGGGACCTTATTAGAATTAACATTCGTTATACATATTGGTAGGTAATTAATGCAGTAAGAACTCTTCCCTTTGTATTTATTAGATGCAAAGAAGAATAAATTTATTAAAATTTGGTATCTACAAGTGAACTGCAGTATGCAAGTCATCTTAGCCAAACCCTATGAGGTTGAGTAAAAATGGTATTGTTAGCAGAACAGGTGTGATGAGTCACCAGTGTCAAAGAGCATGATTTCTGGACCAAAATATGAGGCGCCATTAAAACAGAGTACACAGTAGTACCCCTTATCCACTATACGTGCAGAAAGACATACTTGACACATTTTTCTCTACTGTCACACCACAGCAACAATCATCAACAAAGAAGGCTTCTGTGACCAAATGTGTGGAGGGTTTTTCCCCACCAACAAGCAAGCAATCATTCCTGCTGATGACACAATTCAATTCTCACACCTTATCTGCTGGTAACATCAGATTCAATTTAATTTATAAATTAAACTTTAGCATAGATATGTATGTATAGGGAAAAACAGTTTGTGATTCAGTACTATTCATGGTTTCATGCATCCACTTGGGGGTCTTGGAATGTATCTCCCACAGTTAAGGGGGAGCTACTGCACTTATTTTGTTATAACACAACACAGCCTCTCTAGCTCTTCAGTTCAAACTGCTCAGTTTAGAATAAAACACCCTAACACCAGATGTCAGCAAAACATAGGAATCCGACCAGAAACAGGAATCCTTGCAAAGACTTTCCAGCCGCTAGTGGAAAAGAGCTCAAAAGAGATCAATGTATTACTCTGGCTACTACTCTTTGGGGAAGGTGCTGGGTGGTTTACTTAGTTGTAGCTATTTGCTCTGCCCTACATATAGCAAGGCCCAAATTCACCTGCCATTTTACCTCCCACAGAAAAACCACTGGAAAGATCACTCCTTTAAGAGCTTATACGCTAGGAACCACACCTCACATTCAGAGAGAAGCTGAAGAAACACCAGGGAGGTGTGGCAGGCTGCTGGACAGTACTATATGATGTGAAAAATATATAGAAAGAAAACCATCAATGCCCTTTTACTACCAGAATGTTCCAGTGCTTGCCCTTCTCCCTAGTAGGGGAAAAAAATTCTTTTTCACCTCACAGAAAGCAAAACTCTCTTGCTATCCCTCATGACAGAATCTAGTTGTAGGTGAGTCACATCATCATAATACAGGCTGTTGTCAACCTCATCCCTCAAAGGAAGAGGATCAGTGAGGAACCTATGTACTTACCTATAGCATTCACTGTCTGGTCTTATTTCCAACCGAAGGTAAGTATGAAAGACTTTGTGATTCCAGTTTTATAAAGTACAACCCCTTGCACTTGTCCCCTTCCATTGCTAGAGAATCTATCTGGACCCACCTCACAGAGCAAGATGCTCCAGTTTGTGCTGTGTGGTACAGCATGGTGTCCTTTTCCTCAACCCTTTCTATTATGTGCACATATCTATACAAATCATGTTTTCTAAGTATGTAAAGCATATGTCATCAGAATATATCATTCTTTACAATGATAAAGAAGCAAAAGAAAAACAAAAGGACAAAGAACATCTTAAATGACTACATTCAACTGCCATGGAGCTTTAATTTTTTAACTATTCAAAAAGATATCCACTGTATTATTCCAACTATGTGACTCTTCTGAAAAAAGTAAAACTATGAAGACAGAGTAAACATCAATGGTTGCCACGAGTTACTAGGGAGAAAGGGAAAGATGAACAGGCATAGCACAGAGAATTTTTAGGGCTGTGAAACTGTTCTGTCGATAATATTACAGTAATAGATACATGTCATGTCATTATACACTTGTCCAAATTCACAGAACGTACAGCATCAAGAGTGAAGCCTGATGTAAACTATGAACTTTGAATGATTATAATGTGTCAATGTAAGTTCATCAGTTGTAACAAATGTACCACTCTCTGGTGGAAAATAGTAATAATGGGGGAGGCTATGCATGTGTGGGAGGCATGGGATATATGAGAAATCTCTGTACCTTCCTCTCAATTTTGCTGTGAACCTAAAACTGCTCTAAGAAATAAGGTTATTGATTTAAAAAAAGATATTCAGCTGGGCTCAGTGGCTCATGCCTGTCATCTCAGCACTTTGGGAGGCAAAGATGGGTGGATCACCTGAGGTCAGGAGTTCAAGACCGGCCTGGCCAACATGGCAAAACCTCGTCTCTAATAAAAATACAAAAATTAGCTGGGCATGGTGGCTGGCACCTGTAATTTCAGCTACTCAGGAGGCTGAGGCAGGAGAATCGCTTGAGCCTAGAAGGTGGAGGTTGCAGTTAACTGAGATCGCACCACTGCACTGCAGCCTGGGAGACAGAGTGAGACTCCATCTCAAAAAACAAAAAGATATTCACTGTCTATGCATCCCAGGATCTCCAGAACAATTACAATAAATAAATAAATAAATAAATAAATAAATGGCTGGGGGCAGTGGCTCATGCCTGTAATCCCAGCACTTTGAGAGGCCGAGGTAGGTGGATCACCTGAGGTCAGGAGTTCGAGACCAGCCTGACTAACATGGTGAAACCCCATCTCTACTAAATACAAAAAATTAGCCAGGCATGATTGTGCATGCCTGTAGTTCCAGGTACCTAGGAGGCTGAGGCAGGAGAATCATTTGAAACTGGGAGGTGGAGGTTGCAATGAGCCAAGATTATGTCATTGTACTGCAGCCTGGGCAACAAGAGCAAAACTCCGTCTCAAAAAAATAAGTAAATAAAATAAAAAATAAAGATATTCACTGAACCTGTTACTATGATATATTTAAGCAAGACACGGTGACCCTAAAAATTAGAGATCATTGAAGACCAAAGTAACAACATGTGGTCATTACTTCTCAAATTGAACTATATAAAATATATAAAATAAATAAATTTAATTGCATGCTTAGGTAAGAAAATATTGATAAAAATAATTGAATATTTTATCTTATTTCATAATTCTAAACAGGGATTTAGCACAATATGAAAACTAGACTATTCATGTAATCAAAATAAAAGACAATTTTTATTCTAATGTTAACTCAGAAATTATTTTGCTTATTTAATTTAACAATTTTACTGAAAGGTTAATGAGATAAATAGGACAGATTATAATTACCTAACATTGCTATGGTAACTTATATACAAATAGCTGTTCATCACCAAAAGTCAAAAAAGTAACAAGCACTGCAACTTAAGATGGATCATACAACAGAAATTAGTACCAAGTTACCTTATCTTATAATATTATGTTATTAAAATGAAATTTTAAAACAACACCAAAAATTAAGTTGGGGTTACAAGTGTTGTGCAGAAAAGATTTCATATAGCAGGCAAGAGGCTGCCATCCTTAGAAAGGCCTGCATGCAAGGCTGGCCCTTGGCTGGTGTTTAGGAAATTGGAAATGGGAGGGTTTCCACCATTCCCTGAGAAGAGTGGCTCACTGTGTCTAAAGTGCTTATAGAAACAGTGTATTTACTCTAAACAGCTGCTTTCCTTGTAAGAGTCTGGAATTTGGGTACATGTGAGGGAGAGTAACCTCCATAGAAAAACTTGGGCACTTAGTCTCTAATGAAACTCTGGTACTGGTAGACATCACTGCACATATGTTGTCAAAATGTGAGCCTGGGAGAATTAAGCAGATCCCGGGAACTCCACAGGACAGAACTCCTGGAGGCTTGTGCCTTGTTTCCTCCAGAATTGACCACATGCACCTTTTTCCTCTACTAATTTTGCTTGTCCCCTTCCTTGTTATCAATTAAAGATCTGAGTATGACTATTTGTTGAGTCCTGTGAGTCCTTCTAATGAACCACCAAACCTGGGGTGGTCTTGGGAAACCTTGACACAAATTCATTGTGTAAGATTTGTATTAAGTTGATATGATACGTGTAACTGTAATCAGATGGTTATTTCACAGAATAACTTTACCTAATCTGTTTTTCTTTTCTTTTTTTGCCTTGATATTTGACTTGGAGATTCTCGTATTTCTATATCTATCCAATTGAATAAAGCCATAGAAGGAATAAATGAAAAAATAATGTCAGAAAATAATGTGAAATGAGCAGCAATCCTCTTTTATCTGAATAAAAAATAGAGAATCTGGGTGATTGACAATATGTTCTACAATATGAATGTTTCTAGAAAAAAAATGAAAAAGTGGTCAATTTTCTGCAACTCAACTGGGCTTCATTCCTTTTTATAATAATTTTGAAGGCCAGGTGCAGTGGCTCACACTTGTAAATCCGAGCATTTTGGGAGGTTGAGGCAGGAGGATCACTTGAGCCCGGAAGTTCCAGACCGGCCTCGGCAATATAGTGAGACCTCATCTATTAAACAAACAAACAAACAAAAATCCCTTAAAAAGAAAATTAGCCAAGTGTGGTAGTGCATGCCTGTAGTCCAAGCTACTTGGGAGGCTAAGGTGAAAGGATCATTTAAGGCCAGCAAGCAGAAGTTGCAGTGAGCCAAGATGACACCACTGCACACCAGTACTGACAACAGAGGGAGACCCTGTATTAAAAATAAATAAACAAATAAATAATTGTGTATCAGGCCAGATGTAACCACACAAAACTGTAGTCCCAGCTACTCAGGAGGATGAAGTAGGAGGACTGCTTGAGCCCAGGAGTTCAAGGCTACAGTGAGCTATGATTGCACCAATGAATAGACACTGTATTCTAGCCTAGGCAACATAGAGAGACCCCATCTCCTATGATAATAATAATTGATTAATTGTGCATCATTCAAGTAAATTGTGTAACTGGAGAAAAACATATGACTATTGAATATACTATTATAGTCTACTACTGACCATAGAGTTCCTGTTTACTTGCTTCTAATCTTTTTCTTCATTTCTCATAAAACTGAAAACATGATTTAAACCCATTAAAGGCAGTTCATCACAAAACAAGTCAAAAAGTCAAAAGAATTGCATCCAAACAGTAGGATGCGTTATCCACCGCTCTCTGTGAACAGTTGGATTTGGTCATTAAGAATAAGCAGGACTTTTAACTTTGTGTCTGTGTGCACAGGTGTGTGCACATGTGCACGTGTGTATGTGTATGTATGTAAACTATGACAGATAAAATCATTTTGCTTGTGTACGAATATGTAATATAACTTGTGCTTCTCACAAAGGAATTGCTTTTCCGTCTCCTGTGCTCAGTAGCTGTCTTCAAAAAATAATCTCCTATTTGTATGGGTGCACACTGGTTCAGTTCTACAGTTCTTATTGCCATTTATTTATGGTACCAGAAAGGGATTGCTGAGTTCCTGGTTCTAAAGATAGTTACTTTCTTAGTGACACAAATCAATATGTAATACAGTTCACCCTTGAACAGCAAGGGTTTCAACTGCAGGGATTCACTTATATGCAGATTTTCTTCTGCCTCTGCAACAGAGAGACAGCAAGATCCACCTCTCCTCTTCCTCCTCAGCCTAATCAACCTGAAGATCATGAAGACCTTTGTCAGGACTACTTATGCTTTATGAAAAGTCAATATGTTTCTCCTGATGATTTCCTTTCTAACAGCTTCATTTCTCTAGCTTATTTTATTGTGCGAACACAGTATATAATAATGCAGCAAAAACAAAATAGGTGTTCATCAACTGTTTATGTTATCAGGAAGGCTTCCAGTCAATTGTGGGCTATTAGTAGCTAAGGTGAAGGAATCAAAAGTTATACTCAGATTTTCAACTGCACAGGGATCAGAGTCCCTCACCCCCACATTATTCATGGGTCAACTGTAGTTATTTGTTTACTAAATATAAACAATTTATTATAAAAATGAAATCGAAGATCCATTTGTATAACAAGTCCAATTTGTTATAATGTGACTATAGAGGAAACATACAACATACTAACTTAAAAATCTTTTTTCTTATTTATGCAAAAATATTATATAGGATTTTAGGGATCATAATTAAATAAATGAATGTTTTCAGACAATAATGTTTGAGATTGTAAATTAGCTACAACTACCTTCTTAAATAAATCTGAATTTCAAACTAAAGAAGTTAAATTTTAAAAATTAATTTACATATGTATATACATATATACACATTCAATTTACACATATTTTTAAACTGGTCTTTTTTGACTGAAACTACCTTAATCTTACATCTTACTTTGTATTTTATCAAGAGTAGGACCACCAAGACAAGTAAGAAATTCACAATCAGAAGTCTTACCTGATTTCTCCTTTTTAAGTATCTTCTTTTTATGTTCCAAAATTTGTTGTTGAATTCTATGTATACAAAAGTAATAAATAAAATTGCCATTTTTATAATGAAATAAAAAATATTCACCAAACATATTAAATTCCAAAACACTTTCAAGCAATATCAGACCTAATATCAGAATTTTAATGTCCCATACACTTCAAATTTGTAAACCTTACAAGCTTATTAAGCTTATAATTAAAGAAGAAAAGAAAGTGAAGTACTCATAAATGGAGGAAGCACAGCTCAGTAAATGAACTCTAGTTAGCTGGATATCATGCAAAGTGTCCTGCACTCAGAGTAAGTCCTTGCTCTGTAACCAAAATACCTCGCTCTGTAGGTATTTTGTCTTCAGACAAGTTGCTTCTCTTAGGCTCCATGGTTTCTTCTAAAAAACAAGGATTCTGCTACCTTACTTCACTAGGTTGTTTGGAAGATGTAATGAGATTACATGTTTATATGTTCAGAGAAATAGTAAAGCAATGGAATAATTTATTCTTGAACTTTATTGCTGAAACCATTTTGGAATCCCAAATAATGCTCGGTGTGTGTTTTTCTGTAAGTTCTAATACTCAAATGTTGCAGTTTTCAGAAAATGTTATTAAGTGCTAATTTTGGTTATTACTTGTATTCATTGTGGCTTGTAATTCAGGGCATTTTACCTAATTCATAACTTATTACTAAATTTCTATATATATAAATTTAGTGAGCTCATCACTGAGCTCATCAATCACACCAAGGGCAGAAAACTAATAGGTGTCAAAACCTGGCTTGGACAACTACCACTCCTTCTCTACCTCCTCAAACTCTGAGCCAGCAGATCTGTGCTTGGCTGCTGGATCTCCATGGTCCTCTCCAACTAACAGACAAGACAAAACCCTGCTTTGATTGTTTTTCAGTTCCATGAAGGAAATACAAGTTGACATTTTCTCATTTCCAAGACATGTACTAACAACATGTAACATCCCCTTATTACTCAGCTCTGTTCCCATTTCAGAGATCACCATACATCAATAGTTTCATAGCGATAATCACAATTTCAATATTGCGTGTCACCTGTTTTGGTTTTGCTCACACTGCTTCCTTGGAGCTACTCAACAAATAGTCAAATGGCCTTCCTGGGACTAGGCAAAATATGGAATGTTTTCTGAATTTGTGTGCCATCCCTAGGCAGTAGCCATGCTTATCTGCTCTGTATTGATCCAATTTTAAAATATGTGCTGTTGAAATAAGTACAAAGCCCTGTTTGATACATGGATATTCATGAGTCATGGATGAGGCTTAGCTCTATTAAATCCAACTCACTTACTTCAGATTCAGAGAATTTTATTGAATGGCTTCCTGTGAGGTAGAATTTTAAAATATATTGAAAACTTGAGGAAGAGCTGCAAGTAGCCCAGGAGATTTTCATGATTATAGAGACACATTACTTGAGGGGCCAACTGCAAGCTGGTTCCCACTACTCAGTGGAAAGATAACATGGAACATTCCGCTATCTAACCAAAGCTGCTGCACAGGATATAAAAAAGCCTCAAGGTACAGATCTGATAGCAAAAGAGACAGGGAACTCTGATCTCTTCCTGCAACATTATTTGAACATCCCTGACTATTGAGAACAATCCCAACTAATATTGGTTAAAGGAAAGACAAACATGGCTCTCAAAGGATAACATACCACGAAGGCCTAGGCAAAGTCTAGCTAAGACGTGGGCTCCAAATAAGGTTTTTAGTGTAGGGTGAGCATCAACTTGCTCAATATTTGTGTGGATAAAGCTAGGAGGCCTAGCTGCCAGAGCAGGGTGCTGGGAACAATGACTGAGCACAAGTACATAAACTAATAAACACCGTAGCTTTGACCTCTATATATGAATCACCATGAAAACTGAGGGGTCTGAATCAGTGAAGGCATCCTGGTGGCAAAGGTCAATCATTATCAGATTGCAGGACCGGTTATAATGGCAATAATACAGCAAGTGAGTCCATGGAAACAACAGAATGATTAGAATGGCCTTTTTTCCCCTTCTTCTGACTTGTAAAGAAAGATTGCCTTCCTTGGACTTAGGAAACCCCTTAGCTTCTTGGAAAATTCAAAGAAGGAAGACACAGGAGAGAGCCCCAGGGGACAATACAAGATTTTCTGTTAAACTGGACATTACAAGACTCAATAACTAATTAGAAAAGTCAGGCCAGGCATGGTGGCTAGCACTTTCAGAGGCCGAGGCAGGGGGATTACTTGACCTCAAAAGTTCAAGACCAGCCAGGGCAACAGAGTGAGACCTTGTCTCTACAAAAAAAAAAAAAAAAAAAAAAAAAAGGAAAGGAAAGGAAAAGAAATCAAAGACATGGCTCTTTTTATCCCATGCATGGGGATTATACTTAGAATAAAATGAATAACATTGAGATCCCTAGGGATAAATGTCTCAAAAATCCAGAAAAAATCTCGCACTCTACTTCTAACTAATCTAGACTTCTGCTTGATTTCTGGCTAAAAGGTAGACTAACTCTTCGCTATTTCAAACTATCTGAACCAAACTATGAACTCTCACCTAATGCATAAGATGGAGTAGTTGCAATTATTTTAAACTTCAATTTAGCATTAACTGGCCTTTTAACATAAACACTTACTTTGTCAAATGATGAGAAATAGCATAATCTTCTGCATCTCGTCCACACATGTCTTGAGCGAAGACATCAATATTTTGCTTAAGAAGGATATTGACAATACCTGGTGAGTCATAGTATACAGCAAGCATGAGAGCTGACCTAAAACAACAAAGAAATAACTCCACTCAAGAACTTTAATAAAGACTTTTTTAAAAAGCTAGTTTGATACACTTTACCAGTTTAATATCCGCCTGTCAGTATAGATGTAATAACTATTTGCATGTACTAGCTTGGGTCTATAAGCATCTAGGGTGCTCAAGTGTTCATCTTTGTAAATTGTCACCAAGGCTAAAAGAAAGGGACAACAGGGAAGCCTCTTGTCCCACTGGGGTAAGACATAATACAAGTTGCTAACTTATAGTCCTTTGATGGCCAAGAAACTGTGCTGAGGTCACTTATCTAAAGTAGGCAAAGATTTAGATGAAGATTTCCCCATTGCTTTCCTAGTCAAATCAGCTAGGGGTCAGATAAGAGTTATCTGCAGGCTGAAAACAACAACAACAACAATAATAATAATGACAATGCTAGTAGTCATAAACTAAAAGTCCACACTTTGAAAATGAATAAAACTTGTCAGGTGCAGTGTCTCATGCCTGTAATCCCAGCACTTTGGGAAGCCAAGGAGAGCAGATCACGAGGTCAAGAGATCAAGACCATCCTGGCCAACATGGTGAAATCCCATCTCTACTAAAAATACAAAAATTAGCTGGGCATGGTGGCGTGCACCTGTAGTCCCAGCTACTTGGGAGGCCGAGGCAGGAGAATCGCTTGAACCTGGGAGGTGGAGAATGCAGTGAGCTGAGATCACACCACTGCACTCCAGCCTGGCAACAGAGCAAGACTCCATCTCAAAAAAAAAAAAAATTAATAAAACTAATACAAAACCCTTTAGCTAATAAAAGATTACAGTACGAAAAACATCTGATTATAAATACCAAACTCTGTATATTATAAGAGAAGATGAATCCTACTATATACTATTCTTTATGTTACTCAGTCCAAATATTTGCTTGTCTACCTGATTATTCATGGTGATATTTTTCATTATATGCCAATAATTATGTTAATCTTCTTATTAATATTTCTGACTTGAGTGACCACTCTAGAATACTCAGGTTTTATTTTTAAAAAAAGAACTACTGTACCGTCTCAGCCTATCAACGGCATGTGAACTTGCTTTCCTTTTCAATAAAAATTCCACCATTTTCTCTTTCTTGCAAATTATAGCAAATAAAAGTGGGGTATTATTGTCCTATAAAACAGCAGAAAAAATTAATAATTCACAAAATTACATATTTCTCAACTGAACTGAAAATCTTCTCCAGGATGCTTTGAACTTCAACATACAATATAGAAAGGAAGTAAATGAAAAGCAGTCCCTTCATTCTCACTCCTCTGTGCTTTCTGATGTGCTGTGCTTTGCCTTGCAAACAACCCTCCTCTGTCTCCCTGGATTAACTGTGGTCATTGCCAAAACTCACTTTAAACATTTACTAGTCCCAAGAATCCTTGCTTTGATCACAGCACTTATCATGGTACATTGTAGTCATTTCATTGTTTCCCACTGAAACCAAGAGCTTCTTGAGGCAAGGGCCTAAAACCCTAAGACACAGTAGCAAATATTTTAAGTTTTTTACATTAATTAATGATCTAAATTACTATCTCTAAAGCAGTGTCTCTTAAACTATATTCCAAAGAATATTTGCTTTATCAGAAGTATTATACCGCAAGAGAAAGACTCCATGACCATCTGTATTTGAGAAGTATTACAAAACTGTATTTTATGTCCAATAATCAAGAAATCTCTTTAATTTCACCTAATCCCCTTTCACAATACTATTTGTGGCAAACATTAACATTTGAGGAATTAAGAGTTTCAGAGATACAGTTGCCAGAGCTTCCCAATACAGGTGGCAGTTCCCTCTGGGTGGTACAAACTTGCTTGATTCACTTTTATGAATGGTGTCAGGATCCCAGATGCCAATGTCAGGCACTCCTGCTCCAAATGGGTCACCATGGAAATGAGCTTTGAATTAAGAGAGATTGGCTTCAAATGCATTTATTTTCCTTATTATTAAATAGTCCATGGGTTTTTCCCCTAATACAAGAGAAGAGATTTTTATCTTTACTGTTAGAAAGCTCAGTATATTCTGTGTAAGAGAGATAGGTTTAAAAAACTTAAGAACAAATATTTTAAAAACCAAAACTCAGTAAGAAATACTATTCTCAATTATAATGGTAATCCCGGGACCCTAGTGCAGCTCTACTTTTTAAATCCATTTTTACTGGCTTCCACTTAAATGGCTACTTAAAATTATTTTTTATTTTAGACAAAATATAAATCAGAAATAAAAACATAATGGCTTATCAATAGAAGTTCTCATACTGATCCACATGGATTATTTCTGGCATAATACAAGCCAATAAGTCACTTGCATCCTTAAGGAAGAGCACTGAGGAGAAGGATGTACTGTCTGCAATATTCATAAATTATCCAACTATAACCAGGAATAACCTAAAAAGGCTTCTAGGCATTCTTATGGGCAGAGAATTATTTGTGGTATATATAAAGAAAAGAGTTAAAAACTTCTAAACTCTAAAATTCAACTCCATAACTGAGGGATTTATATACTCTATAGACTATATATTATAAACAAATACATGCTGACTTAAAAACCTTGAAATTTTTATCAAAATATACTATAACATAGGAGTTGTAAACTCAGATACTTACAAGGACAAAGGAAGGTTGCCTGAGTAAGGGAAGTACTAAGGTGGGCACAGTAGCAAACTGGAGAATACCTGCCTTCTATAAAGGGGCAACTTCTGCACAGCAGACCAAAGAATGATAGAAACTCAGGGGACACCAGATTTGATTTTTTAGGATACGCCTGAAGTCCACATTTCTTCACGAGTCTTCTAAATTTTACATGTTGATTCAACTTATAGAGGCAAACAAACAAATCTGTGTACCACATTAGAATATAGCCCTTGTTTTTTTTATATTCGCTATTAATGTGTTACTAAATGGTTGTGTATAATCCAAGTATTTGCATGTAAAATATTTTCTTTCTCTGGTATCATATGTTCTACCAAAAAATCAGGCTCTCATATATAATAAAAATTGCTAAAAAGACTCACAATACCTGCTTCAAGAATTTTTCTAACATGTATTCATTTAAAATATGTTTGTATATAATTTTCCAAGATTGTTAACCAAATAGATAATTGGTTCACAAGACTGCTAAAACTAAATTATTAAAAGAATTCCTATCTATATTCTTATTAACTTCATGGATTTCAGTGTTTAAAACTGACATTTTGGGTATGCTAAAGTTCTATAAACTTAACAAACATACTGAGATAGTTCATAATAAAACTTCAACTAAAAAAAATAGTTTAGGATTTGCTACTATCTTAATTGAGAAAGCCAAACTTGTAATGAACATTTGTTGACACATAATCACCTGCGTGGTGACAAAGGGACATGAAATCATGAAAGGGTCAGCCTCTACCTGTTGAAAGATTACTCATAAGCAAATTTCTGAATACTCTCTGAATGGTAGTGAATGATTCATGGTGGGAAGCAAAACATGTTATTCTGTAAGCTGAGAGATATTGCCAATGATATTTCCTTTCACTTCCCAGTCACAGATGTAGAGAAAGACAGATAAGTCAGGCTAATATAATTGAAAAGGAGAACTTTGAAGGAAGTGGCAACTATCAAATGCCAACTCTTCTAGAGATTTCTTACATTTTTGAGATACAGAAATTTATATATTGCACTTATCTATTCTGGGGTTTTTAATCAAGAGTGTATCCCAACCTTGAAGGTTTTTTGTTTTTTTGTGGTTTTTTTTTTTTGGCTATTATTGTTGTTAGAGACAAGAGTCTCACTATGTTGCTCAAGCTGGATTCAAACTCTTAGGCTCAAGCTGGGACTACAGGAATACACCACTGTGCCCAGCTTCAAGAAAACATTTTTAAACACGTTCAGGCCTTATTAGGTCTATTACATCAAAATCTTCAGGGGAAAGCCTACAATTGTAGATTTTTAACAAAATGTCCTCAGGTCACTGTAATGCACAATTCTGAGAATCAGTGCAGCAGACAATCACTTCAGTCTCACCTCTCACCCACATGGCTAATTCCTTTATCAGTTGGAGATGTGGCCAAAAAGAGAAAAGAGTAAGAGATAGTGTCATTTATTAAAACTCCAGTTAAGTTTCCTGGCTATGGGTAGAACAGGGACAAGTAAACTCAAAATCCCACTTGATTTTGCTATTTACAAGCTCCTTATCTCCCACCTTCCCACTAAGACATTCTAGATTTGAGAGGAGGCTTTAGGTTCTTATCTAAGTGGCTGTTTCTGCCAGGATGAGCAATAAGTCAGTTAATAATTTGTTCCACCTTCTGCTGAAGTGTTTCTCACTTCGTCACCACATATTCACTGCCAATCTGGTTTCCTCAGAGTCCTCCTAAAATTCATCTCTAGGCAAGTTGCAACTCATTCTTTTTCAAACCAAAAATTATTAGACCCAAAGCTAAACAGCACCTTGTCTCAACACATAAAACAAACTTAAAAACAAAAAAAAACCTCTTCCTGGCATTTTCCCTCATTATCTAATATCCAAGTGACCTGCATATTTCTGATCGCTCTCTTTCTCCCCTCCCATTTTTCCCTCTTAAGCCTTGCCACTGAAAGATGATACATCAGTTTTTCAGAAAATTAGCAGCAGCAGCAACATGTCCCTTTATTGTAAGTTGCTTTAGTTTTGTTTGAGTTTTAGGATAAAGCCTATTTCCGGGGAATATTTTCTTTCCTTTGTTGTTTTACACTAATTAAGAAAAAAAAAAAAAAAAAGAATAAGCCTGTGTAGAAAAAAAGTTGAAAAGGTTTTACCTTTAACAAATTCACAAATATTTTCCAAAGTGCATTTTATAAAGCTGTGCCCTTTAATGCTTCTTTAAAAGTATCAATATTTAAAATAAAATCTTAGACAATTAAGTTATTTCAAAATAACTTAATTTGTATTTGCATTCAGGGAATGGTTGAGCTTCCAAATATAAAAAATTGACCCTTACCTATGTCAATGTTAAAACAAATATTTTGGAAAGAAAGTTGATTGACCTATACCTTGTCCAGTGCTTCAATATGTGCACCATGGGAAAGCAGTTTTTCTGCCAGTGAGGTGCTCTCACTATACACGGCATAATGGAGAGCAGTGTTGCCGTAGATATCCTTAAGGTTTGGATTGGCGCCATGTTCCAGCAGAATAACGGCACAAGCCTCTTCCTGGCAATGGACAGCCTGTCCGTGTTAGACCAAGAAACAGATTGTAAATTCCAAGAATTCAAAATACACATTCCACAGGTTTCACCAACTAGTTATATGTAAATGAGATCAATTTATTTTAATTCTATATATGTAAATCAAATCCATGTCATGCTAAAAGAGTTGGCTCTAATATACCTGTATCAAAGGCGTTCTGTTTTCTTTGTCACAGACATCAATCTGGCATTTTCTGTTAACCAGGAGAGTGACCACTTGCACATGGCCACTGGCACAGGCCAAGTGTAGAGCAGTTCTATGAGAGTAAGAGGATTTTTTAAGAAACTGTAGTACAATATCTCAAAACATACAATCATTCATGTAATGTAAAAACTGAATAGCATGTTTTTCCTCTGCCTTCAAAACAAATAAATTTTTTGAAGAAAGTACAATACTTACTCTTATTGCTCACTGCCTTAATGAAAACAGCAGCCTATTTGAGTAGAAAGAGCTCAGTCTTTGGATTCGGTTCAACTAGGGCTTGAGTCCTACTTTAAGCCTTGACACTTACCAACTATTGCTTAGCCTTTCTGTACCTCAACTTCCTCATTAATAAAGATGACAATAGTAGCTATCTCATAGGACACCATCATGATGCTTAAATGAGAAGCTATGTAAAGTATGCAGAACAGTTCCTACGACAACTCAATAATTGTAAGATTTTTGTTTTTTGAGACAAAGTCTCACTCTTTTGCCCAGGCTGGAGTGCAATGGTGTAACTATACCTGGAACTCCTGGGTCAAATGATCTCCATCCCCAGCCTCCTGAGTAGCTGGGACTACAGATGAGCACCAGCATGCCCAGCTATTTATTTAAAAATTTTTGTAGAGTAAGAATCTCACTTTGTTGCCCAGGCTGGTCTCAAACTCCTGGCATCAAGCAATCCTCTCACCTCAGCCTCCCAAAGTTCTGGGATTACAGGTGTGAGCCACTGCACCCAGCCAGATATTATAATTATTACTATTACTACTACTTAACAAAACCATTTTAATTAGGTAGAATGATACAATTACACCTACTTTGCAAGATGACTTAACGAGTAGGTCACATTTTAACACCTCTGACATTGGAATGCCACTTATAATTCATGATTTGTTATAACTATAATTGGTAGCATTTTAAAAATTATCTTATTGATATATAAAATATCGGGGCATCACGCAATCCATGAGACCTTACATTAAGTAGAATATGGTATACTCAGCAGGTCTAGGGCAGTTCTAGGCATGTAACTGAAACTTAAATACATTTTAGTTCTTAAAGGTACTATGGGGAAAGAGCACTGAAATAACAATAATGCATTTTTTAAACAAATTAATTCTTTGATTTTCAAACAACTTGAAGCCAAAGGAAACTCATGATTCAAATGAATACATATGGCTCATTGTATTCAATATTTATACTTAGAAAATATATGCAAATAAGACTTTCCAATGATTAATATTAGTATTTAAGACTGACAAACTTTCGAAAGAGCAGTTAAAGGTTATCTTCTACTATTTTCTAACTTCAGAAATGCTTTTGTTTGAAAGGTGGGAGATAAAGTTTCAAGGAGATTAAGTCCCAATATTCCTATTTTAAATCTCTCAGCTTGTGCAGGCGGGGCAGGTAAACATGAAGTGTTTAAGGATGGACGGGTCCTGAGAGATGACAGAATATGTCTGCTACATAGCAGGTACTCAGGTTATGCTTGATCCATAAATGGAATGAAAGAATGGATAAATACAGTTGGGGAGTTCATTATTTTTAAATAAACTCCTATAAAGCAATATTTTTGCAATAGTAATTATTTATATGTGTTGTTTTATTTTTAAAGAATACAATTAAAATGAAATGATTATGTTTGCATAAATGGAACGAGTATATAAGCAAAACATATGTACATAATAAAATATATAGATAATAAAATCTGGAAACAGATAAAAACATTCCCTTTTTACTTCTGAAGAGGCTAAAAGCTCAAAGAAGATAACAACACACACAATAATGATAAAAAATAGAAAGTGAGAAATTATTTTCATCAGCACAAGATTCATATTCCTCTCTTCCCAAGGATTAGTCCATTAATAATAAACTTTTACTAGAAGTTTTGTACTCACTGCAGCAATCACAGATAAGAAAAAGGAAAAAAACTTTACTTAAAATACAAATGCTCAGAAATTACAAATTTTATATTTTGTACATATTTTTGCTAAAACAAGACCATAGTATGTTTGTGTATGTATAATTTAACTAATTTTTTCTCCTTGCTAGCTATAACAAAATACATCTTTGCACATCAACGTACTTCTGTATCTATTGCCACCTTCAGTGGTCACATATTATTCCATCCTATGGATGCAACTGAAATTTATTTATAGGATCCATTCTATGGGTTCTCTTTAAAATAAGTACTGTGAAAAATAAAGTGCATGTATCTTTATTTCCTAAGGGTATTTTAGTATAATGGAATTGGTGGGTAAAGGGCATACACATTTTTTAAATGTAGTACTTACCATTTTCAAATGAGTACTTTGAAAAGTAATCAGCAACTTTAAGCAGCAGTATAAAACATCCTCACAAATATTGTGGATAGAAAACTGTTTCATTCCTCTTTTAGTTTAAATTCTTATACCAGAAATGCGAAGGATTTTTTCCTATGTATATAAGTAACTTGTAGATCTGGAAAAAGGTACTTTGCCCACTTTTAGAGTGTTTGATAATTTGATTTGAAAGAATTCCCTGTAAAATGAAGAGGTACTTTTCATCTAATGTGTATATATAACTGATATTTATAACATATTATATGTGTTATATATGTATACATATCAGTAATATATATATATATCTTATGATATATAATAAACAACATAGGCCAGGCGCGGTGGCTCACACCTATAATCCCAGCGCTTTGGGAGGCGGAGGCGGGCAGATGACTTGAGGTCAGGAGTTCGAGACCAGCCTGGCCAACGTGGTGAAACTAAATATACAAAAATTAGCCAGGCATGCTGGCACCTGCCTGCAATCCCAGCTACTTGGGAGGCTGAGGTAGGAAAATTGCTTGAACCGGGCAGGCAGAGGTTGCAGTGAGCCAAGATTGTGCCATTGGACACCAGCCTGGGCAAAGAAGCGAGACTCCGACTCAAAAAAAAAAAAAGAATATAATGAATTCCCTATAAAATGAAAACATACTTTTCATCTGAAAAAATATATATATATAATATAGTAAATATTTTTCAAGTAAGCTCTCTTATCTGAGAACTTTTCGCCCACTGAAACAACTCACGGTTATTTTTGATAGGGGAACAAGTACTCTCATTAGGCACCTCCTATAATGTATATAAACCATGTTTTAAACGTGTACGTTAAAAATAACAACGCTGTATATGCTTAACTTTGTGAGTTAAATCACTCAAATTCTCCAACTGCTCCAGCCAGGGAATTATGAGGGATGGAAAACAGCTGAGAGTCCGTTTGGCTCCGCCGCTCCGAGGGTGCCCGGCGCCCTGCACGGCCCCGTCCCAGGGTCTGCGGGGAAGCCGGGCCTGGGGGCCCCCTCCCACCCCGGGCTGAGCCCCCGCTACCTGTGCTGCTTGTCCAGGGCGTCCAGGTCTCCGCTCCTGCGCGCCAAGCAGCGCTCCACCTCCGCGGCGTCGCCTTTGACAGCTGCCCTGTGGATCTTCTGCAGTTCGGAGTCCCGGATTCGGTATCCGGAACCCGTGTAGACGTGGTCTATGGAGCCCTGGGCCGTCTGGCCCCTGCGGCTCCCGAAGCCGAATAACTTCATATTGGTGACTTCTTCTCAGACCCCCAACCACCGGCTCTTGAGCGAGGGCAGCTCCCTGTCACCTTTTCACCAACCCCCTCCCCGACCCCGGCCGACCCAGCCCCAAATCCCCTATCCAACCCCAAAGCCCCGATCCAACCCCAACTCCGCTATTTCAAATCTATAATCTACACAATCCGCGATCCAGCCCGGTCCACCACAGCCTTCAGCAGCGACACTCGCAGCCTCCGACCTCTCAGACCGAGTGAGCCTCGCAAAGCCGTTGGGCGCGCGCCTGCACGGCAGTTGCTGCCGGGCTCCCAGAAGACGCTCCCTGGCGGCGCGCGCCAGCAGGTGGGGCTGCAGCTCTGGGCGTGCGCCGATGGGCTCGCCGGTTCTCCTGGGATCGCCCGGGCAGCCCCAGGATCGCAGGCGCGCAGCCAGCCCGGCCTGAGAAGGAGGGCCTGTCTGGCCTTGCAGCCCGCCCCGCTCCTCCTCAGAAGGGAGATAGGGTGCTGGCAAGGGCACTCCGCGGCCACCTGAGTGGCTTCGCGGATTGGCTGAACGCTGAGGCTCTGACCCTGAAGTCTGTGTGGCTAGTGTCAGGTAGCTGGAGAGGGATGGAGGCAGAGTCAGGGACTGCTCCTTCCCCCACCCGCCCTCACTGCTGCCAGTGCCACACGCGCGGTTTGCAGCTGCAGATCTGGCACTGGCGCAGGATGGCGGAGCTTCCTTTGGATGGCCTCAGGGCCGCAGAGCGCACAGCCCACCTGGCCTCAAGGTCCGCTCCTCTTGGACATCTTTCTGGATCCTGGGCCCTGGCGCTGGGCACTCTGTGTCCACACGGATGAAACAGCGGCTGCTGGCGGGGCCGGTTGCCTGATTTTGCCGCCTGGGGGTCTGGCCTCAGGATCCACGCTACTGCGGGGCGGGCCTGGTCTGGAGTGTCCAGTCACTTGCTGCCGGTGCACCACGTCTAGACTGCAGCTGCGGCTCCGATGCAGGCGTGAGCTGGCGGGCCTGGTACCTGATGTCCTCAGGGTCAAGTGCATCGCCCTCCCACTTGAGAGGTTGCTCTGACTTGGCCTCCTCCAAGAACGCAGGGGCCGCCGGGACTGGCTCTTCGTGGTAACCGGGATGGTACCGAGCAGCAGGTTTTCACCCTGGTGCCACTGCTGTGCGGACTGCCTGACTTGGGCACCCAGGCACCCGCCCCAGGGTCCGCGCGGCAGGTGTGCAGGTAGGGTGAGTGGCGCGGAGGGTCGGGGGTTGCTCCGTCATCTCTGCCCGTGTGCAACTTGCAGTTTTGCAGTTTTCTGCAGCAGCCGAGGCGCTGGCGCGGGAAGGCGGAGCTCCCCTGGATGGCGTCAGGTTTGCAGGCACAGAGCACAGCCCACCAGGCCTGAAGGTCCGCTCAGGGGCCATAGTGGTTGAGTTCTCTGTGGAACTGGGATGGGGTGAACGGCCAGTTCCCGTCCTTTGGCCACCTGGCCAACTGCCAGACTTAACCGCTGCCGCCCAGGAATCTGTCTCTAGCGTAGCCACTACTTGGGTAGAAGTGGGGGTCGGGGTGGGGCGTCACCGGTTGCCAGGCCAGCACTGTCTTTGCAACATATTCAGATGGCGGCGGGCAGCTCAGGCGCCAGCATGGGCTGGCGGGGCTCCCCTGGACGGCCCTCAGGTCGCTCACAGCATTGTCCCAGGACTTCCTCGGCCTGTGCCAGGTGGGCAAGGTACGGGGGTAGCTTCGAAGGCTTCTATCCCAACTCTACCTATTTCTATCTATCTTCTCTTGAGTTATTTTGCCTTTATCTCAGTTTTATTTGCAAAAATAGTATACGCAAAATACATCGAGTGAATGCACATCAGGCATATAGAAGATCTGGCAGAAACATGTTTTCTCCTGCCCATTTCCAGTCAGTATTTGAACACAGAGGCTTCCACGGTTTTGATTCTTTCCACAAAAGGTTAGTTTTGTCTGTTTTCACCATTTATGTAAGTGAAACTATAAATTATATAATTTTTATGTTCACTCACTAAACATGCTTGTGACACATCATTTTGCTCCTATTGATTATTCATTATTTTCTAATATTCAACTTTATGACTATACCACAGGTTTGAGGCCTTTGCTTGTTTTGTTTTTAATCCATTCCACTATTGATAGACACAAAAGCAGTTTCTGATTTGAGGCTATCATGAATAAACCTGCTACGAACAAATCAGATATACATATTTTTTTCTGTAATAATATTTTCACTTTTCTTGAGTTTAAGTACATAAGAGTGGATTTTCTGGGTTATAAAATAAGTATATATTTGGCATTGTATGAAATGGGGAGACATTTTCCTAAGTGGTTATGCCATCTTAAACTACAATGAAAATGAGAGAATCAGTTCCACTTTCTAACCAATACTTGATGCTGTCAGTTGTTTTAGTATTATCCATTCTTATGGGATATAACTGCTGAGTAGCTGTCTGCCTTCTCCCATGACACAGAAAATTGAGGGCCCAGAGGACAGTTTTATTTTCATATTTGACATCTTCTATTATTTTTTATAGAAGGATGATTTCAGTAGTAAAATTTTCTTTCAATTTTCTAGGTTGTCTCTGAATCTTACTGGGGTTCCTTGTCCTAAACCACGTTCAGAAATTTTCACGACCGACTTCTTATCTTTGTCATACCAGGCCAATGAGGGACAGCATTCCTGAGACTTTTTAAGTACTTTGTGTGTGTGTGATGGTCTAATAATCATAGCCTTAAAACTTTCTGGCTGGGCATGGTGGCTCACACCTGTAATCCCAGCACTTCAAGAGGCCGAGGCGGGTGGATCACCTGAGGTCGGGAGTTCGAGACCAGCCTGACCAACGTGGAGAAACCCCAACTCTACTAAAAATAAAAAATTAGCTGAGCATGGTGGCACATGCCTGTAATCCCAGCTACTTGGGAGGCAGGAGCTACTTGGGCTGATGCAGGAGAATTGCTTGAACCCATGAAGTGGAGGTTGCAGTTAGCCAAGATCACACCATTGCACTCCAGCCTGGGCAACAAGAGTGAAATTCTGTCTCAAAAAAAAAAAAAAAAAAAAAAGAATCTCACACTTCTGGGAGACACTGAATTTGTGAATGTGTACAGCATATCACAATAACTTTTCTTTGAGACCAAGTCTCACTCTGCTGCCCAAGCTGGAGTGCAGTGGCCCATCTCAGCTCACTGCAACCTCTGCCTCCCGGATTCAAGCAATTCTCCTGTCTTGGCCTCCCGAGTAGCTGGGATTACAGGTGCTGCAACCATGCCTGGCTAATTTTTGTATTTTTAGTAGAGACAGGGTTTCACATATTGGCCAGGCTGGTCTCGAACTCCTCACCTCAGATGATCTACCCGCCTCGGCCTCTTGAAGTGCTGGAATTACAGGTGTGAGCCACCATGCCCAGCCAGAAAGTTTTAAGGCTATGATTATTAGACCATCACACAAAGTACTTAAAAAGTCTCAGGAATGCTGTCCCTCATTGGGACCACAACACCCAGATGATTTTTTTTTTTTTTGTAGAAAGAGGAGCCTTGCTATGTTGCCCAAGCTGGCCTCAAACTCCCACCCTCGAGATCTGCCCATCTCGACAACCAGAGTAACTGGTTCTACAGGAAAATACCACTATCCCATGATAATTATATTTTATTAATTTTTATTTGCATAGACAGGAGGTCTTGCTATGTTGCCCAGGGTGGTCTCAGACTCCTGGACTCAAACAATTCTCCCATCTGTGCCATCTGTGCCTCCCAAAGTGCTCCCAAAGTGCTGACGCCACAGGCGTAAGCCACTGCACCTGGCCCGACTTAAGATGTCTTTAATCTAGCATCCCATACTTCATATAATCAGGAAAAGCAGTAGTGTTTTTTTTTTTTAATTACTTAGTATCTCAACAAGAATCAACCATCTCTCACCATTGCCAGGACCCTGGTCAGAACCACTATCATCTCCTACCTGGATGTTGCCACAGCTTGGCCTCCGTGCTTCTACCCAAATCTTCCCACAATCTTTCTCAACTCAGCCACCATGGGATGCTTTTAAATCAATAGACAGTTCGTGTCACCTCTCTGCTCAGAACCCTTCCGCATCTCCCATCTCAGACAGCATAAAAGCCAAAGCCCCAGCAATAGCCTCCCAGGGCTTGCACAATCTGTACTGATCTGAGTCCCACAACTCCCTGGCCTCCTCCCCTACCTTCTCTCCCCCTCTCTGCTCGACAATCCTCTTTCCTGAGCTTCAGACACACCACGGAGTTCCCTCTTAGCATCTTTATTCTGTTGTTTCTGCCTATAATGCTCTTCCCTCAGTACCTTGGCCAGCTCCTTCCCCTCCTTCAAGTCTTTGCTCAATTTTCACTTAGGAGGCCAACCCTGACCACTCTATTTAATATTGCTATGTGTCCCCATTCCTGCCATGCTCACTCATTTCTTTTTACTTTTTTTTTAAGATATAATCTCGCTGTGTCACTCAGGCTGGGGCACCATGGCACGATCACAACACACTGAGACCTGGAACTCCTAGGTCAAGAAATCGTCCTGCCTCAGCGCCTCTAGTAGCTAAGACTACAAGTGCATGCCACTACACCCGCTAATTTTTTTTTCCCATGTAGACAGGGTATCACTTTGTTGCCCAGGCTTATCTTGAACTCCTGGGCCAGAGCAACCATCCTGCCTCAGCCTCCTAAATAGCTGGAATTATAGGTGTGGGCCACTACCCCTGGCTTCATGTTCATTTCTTCTTGCTGCTGTTACAAACTACCCTACGTTGAGTGGCTTAATACACCACAAATCTACTACCTAACAGGTCTGGGGGCCAGAAGTCCAAAATAGGTCTATTAAGGCTAAAGTCAAGGTGTCAGCAGGACTGCATCCCTTCTGGAGGTTCCAGAGAGAAGGTGTTCCCTTGCCTTTCCCAGTTCCAAAAGCCACCCCTATTCTTTGCCTCATGGCCCCTAAATGCATCTTCAAAGCCAGAAGCAAAGCATATTCAAATCTCCCTCTGTGACCTGTGCTTCCACCATCAAATCTCCTTCAATTCTGACTCTCTTACCTCCCTCTTTCACTTATAAAGACCTCTTGTGATTGCTGGACACAGAGGCCGGGGCTCACAACCATAATCCCAACAGTTTAGGAGGTCAAAGCAGGAGAAATGCTTGAGGCCAGAAGTTCGGGACCAGCCTGGGAAACACAGTGAGACCCCCCCCCCCTCAATTAAACAACAAAAAGAAATAAGAGAAAATTAGCTGGGCATGGTGGTATGCATCTGTAGTTTCAGCTACTTGAGAGGCTGTGGTGAAAGGATTGCTTTAGCCCCAGAGTTCAAGACCAGCCTCGGCAATATAACAAGATCCCATCTCTACAAAAAAATACAAAAATCAGCTGGGCATGGATGGTGTGCACCTGTAGTCCCAGATGCTTGGAAGGCTGAGGTGGGAGAATTGCTTGAGCCCAGGTGGTTGAGGCTGCAGTTAGCTACGACTGCATCATTGCACTCCAGATTGGGTGAAACAGAGACTCTGTGTTCAAAAGAAAAAGAAAAAAAATACACATTTGGTTTCTGCCCCTCGTCCTGGCACAGAGCTTCTCAAGTTCTTATAAAGGCCTTGGTGATAAAGGTGATAGGACCCCATCTTTTGTTTGAATATTTGGTCTTAGTCCCAGGTTTCTAACACAAGAGCCTCTAAGACCTTTGGGATCACCACAGTAAGAATGCATTTGGTGATGTTACTGAGATGACTGGGTGACTGAAAGCTCCTAGACCGCTTAAGAAAAAGGGCTGGTTGCCAGAAGAACAAACCATGTGATTAGAGGCTTGGAACTGTCAGCCTCACCCACTGGGCTCCAGGAAGAAATAGTGGCCGAAGACTGACTTAATCACCAATAGTCAATGATTTCATCTATCATGCCTGCTTAAAGAAGCCTTCATAAATGACCTCAACAACCAGATTTGGAGAATGCCGGGGTTGCTGAACACAAGGGAGATAGCAGGAAGGTAACACGCGCAATAGAGAGCATGGAAGTTCTGCACCCCTCCCGACCTCCCGACACACCTTGCCCTGTGGTTTTTTTTTTTTTTTTTTTGAAACAGGGTCTGGCTCTGTCCCCCAGCCTAGAGTGCCGTGGCACAATCGTGGCTCACTGCGACCTATGCCTCCCTAGCTCAAGCCCCATCTCTCATCCTCTCACCTCAGCCTCCTGAGTAACTAGAATTATAGGCACTGAGTAGCCAGAACTATAGATCACTGCACCTGGCTAATTTTTAGAAAAACCTTTTTGTAGAGATGCGTTTTCACCGTGTTACCCAGGCTGGTCTTAATCTCCTGAGCACTTAAGCGATGCTCCCGCCTCAGTCTCCCAAAGAGCTGAAATTACAGGCATGAGCCACTGTGCCCAGCATGTACATCTCTTTCACCGGCTGTTTCTGAGATATAGCCTTTAAAATGAACCAGTAAAAGAAAGTAAATTGGTGAGATGCAGTGGCTCACACCCATAATCCCAGCATTTTGTGAAGTTGAGGTGGGAGGATCATGTGAGCCCAGAAATTTGAGACCAGCCTGGGCAACATAACAAGACCCCTTCTCTACAAAAAATAAAAAAACTTAGCCAGATATGCTGGTGCGGGCCTGTAGTCTCAGCTATTTGGGAGGCTGAGGTGGGAGGATCACTTGAGCCCAGGAGTCCCATGCTACAGTGAGCTTTGATCACACCACTGCATTCCAGTCTGGCAATAGACTGAGACCCTGTATCTCAGAAAAAAAAAAAAACAACCTGTTTTTCTGAGTTCTGCAAGCTGTCCGAGCAAATGATTCCACCCAGCAATGGGGTCATGAAACCCTGTTTTCTAACTGGTCGGTCAAAACTACATGTAACAACCCAAGACTTGCAATTGGCATGTGGAGTGAGGGTAGACTCCTGGGACTGAGACCCCATCCTGCGGGGTCTGCACTAACTCCAGGGAGTGTCAGGATGGAATTGTGGGATACCCAGTTGGGATCCAGATTGTCTGAAAATCAGTGTAGAAACTCCACATGCACATTTGGTTAGAGGTGTTTAACCATAACTACTATTCACGAAAAAGGTCTACTCATTACAACTGAAAATCATAAAATTGTAAGTTCTACAAAAATAAATCAACCTTATCTACTGCCCAGTCCTACCAAACTACAGAATGTGAGAACAGAAGGTCTGACCGTGGACTCGAGAGCTGACATTAGGAATGTCACCACCATCCTGCTCTCCAAGGACTCCTCATCTTCAACAAACTCCTCATCTTCAATGGGCAGGGTGGAAACTGCAACTTGTGCCATGATCCTTGCACAAGAAAAGTAGTAAGAAAGTGAGTGGTAGAAATCCAGTGTCCTAAACTCACATCCAGAGCTGTGAGAGTTTTTCACCGGCTGGATAATTCACAGTTTTCTTGAATCAGGGGAAAAATAAGACTCAGAAACTAGGAATTCGTTTTGCCCAAAACTCTCATCAGATAGAGAATCCATCCACTAACTTTCTATCTAGTATTATTTCCATAAGTTAGATCAGTATCACTCCCAAATGCACATGGCACCCAGAATCTGCGCATTTCTCCCAAGTAAAAGAGGAGGTGGATGGGCGCAGTGTCTCATGCCTGTAACCCCAGCACTTTCGGAGGCCAAGGTGGGTGGATCACTTGAGGTCAGGAGTTCAACACCAGCCTGGCCAACATGGTGATACCGTCTCTACTAAAAATAAAAAAAATTAGCCAGGTGTGGTGGCACGTGCCTATAGTCCCAGCTTCTTGGGAGGCTGAGGCAGGAGAATCGCTTGAACCCAGGAGGCTGAGGTTGCAGTGAGCAGAGATCTCAGCACTGCACCTGAGCCTGGGTGACAGAGTGAGACTCTGTCTCAAAAAAAAAGGGGGGGGGGGAGGAGGCAATGCACTTTACAACCCAGTGATGGGCTACCACAACTCAACACAGCAAAGAGGTGCCAAGCTCCCTTTCTCCCCTGCACAACCCGACACAGAAGAGTTGGTGCAGTGGAATGAGGTTGAATGGAGAGAAGTTCCTCTTCTTTCCTTTTTTTTTTTTTTTTTTTTGAGATGGAATCTCACTCTATCACACAGGCTGGGTGCAGTGGCACAATCTCGGTCACTGCAACCTCCGCCTCCCAGGTTCAACCAATTCCCTGCCTCAGCCTTCCGAGTAGCTGGGATTAGAGGTGCCCGCCACCACACCCAGCTAATTTTTGTTTGTTTAGTAGAGACTGGGTTTCACTATGTTGGCCAGGCTGGTCTTGAACTCCTGACCTTGTGATCCACCTGCCTCGGCCTCCCAAAGTGCTGGGATTATAGGCATGAGCTGCTGCGCCCAGCCGAGAAGTTCCTCTTCTTACTGAGAAAATGGATCACAGGGCATCAAGTAACACATAAAATTCTTTATAATAAGCAGTATTATTTTTGGAAAACCTTTCCTAATATTTTGGTATCAGCAAAAACCCTCAGATTAATTTCAAACACTATAAAAATACAGTACATAAACAGAAAATATTAACTGTCAGCAATGCTATAGAGAAATTGGAAGCTGTATGCATTGCCTTTTGGAATGTAAAATGGTACAGCCCACTGTGGAAAATGGTTTAGCAGCTCCTTAAAAATATTAAGCACAGAATTATATGATCCACCAACACCCTTTAAGTGTATATACCCAAAATAACTGAGAGCAGGGACTCAGACAGGTATTTGTACACCCGTTTAACAGCAGCATTATTCACAGTGGCCAAAAGGTAGAACCAACCCTAATGCCCATCAGTAGGTGAATGGATAAAGAAAATGTAATATATACATACACAGAGTATTATTCAGCCATAAAAAGAAAAATATCTGGCCAGATTCAGGGGCTTACACCTGTAATCCCAGTATTTTGGGAGGCCAAGGTGGGCAGGTCTCTTGAGCCCCAAATTTTGAGACCAGGCTGGACAACATGGCACATTTGGTCAGAAGTGTTTGACCATAACTACTATTCAAGAAAAAGATCTACTCATTAGAACTATAAATCATAAAATTATAAATTCTACAAAAACAAATCAACCTTATCTACCACCCAGTACTACCCAATTACAGAATGTTAGAACGGAAGGTCTCACCATGGACTCAAGAGCTGATATGAGCAATGTCACCACCATCCTGTTCTCTGCGGACTCATCTTCAACGGACTCCTCATCTGCCATGGACTCCTCATCTTCAATGGGCAGGGTGGAAACTGCAGCTTGTGCCATGATCCCTGTGCAAGAAAAGTAGTAAGAAATTGAATGGTAGAAATCCAGTATCCTAAACTCACATCCAGAGCTGTGAGAGTTTTTCACTGGCTGGCAAATTGTTTTTTTGCATCAGAGAAAAAAACAAAACTTGGTAACTTGGTATTCGATTTGCCCAAAACTCTCATCAGATAGAAAGTTAGCGGATGAATTCTCTATCTAGTATTATTTCC
The DNA here is from genome assembly GCF_000001405.40 of Homo sapiens. NCBI lineage: Eukaryota > Metazoa > Chordata > Mammalia > Primates > Hominidae > Homo > Homo sapiens. The sequence goes on along the minus strand of NC_000009.12, from coordinate 40,213,928 downwards.
ATGAAGTTAGATGAATATCACTCCCAAAATAAATCCACGTGGCAACCAGAATCAGTGCATTTCTCCCAAGAGGAGGTGGCCAAGCTCCCACATCTGTAATCCCAGCATGTTGGGAGGCCGAGGTGGGTGGATCAGGAGGTCAAAAGATTGAGACCATCCTGGCCAACATGGTGAAACCCTGGTCTCTACCAAAAATACAAAAAATAGCTGGATGTGGTGGTCTGTGCCTATAATCCCAGCTACTTAGGAGGCTGAGGCAGGAGAATCACTTGAACCAGGGAGTCAGAGGTTGCAGTGAGCCGAGATCGTGCCACTGCACTCTAGCCTGGTGACAGAGCAAGACTTCGTCTAAAAAAAAAAAAAAGAAAAAAACAGTAAAATACAAAATGTCTTTTTCTCCTAACCTTCTTAGCCTTCTGCTGGTACTTCAATTTCTGCTGGTACTGTTTGGTCATTGCCCTCTAAAGAATGATGGCTTCCTAAAAAGAAAACAAACAACATATAAACCAATAAAAACTCACATTGAAAGATAAAAAATAATCTAGGTGACGATGCAAGCACTTTTAAGACATAATAGGCCAGGTGCAGTGGCTCACACCTGTAAACCCAGCAGTTTGGGAGGCTGAGGAGGGCGGATCACCTGAGTTCAGGAGTTCGAGACCAGCCTGGGCCAACATGGTGAAACCTCATATCTACTAAAATACAAGAAATCAGCCAGGCGTGGTGGCGGGGGCCTGTAATCCCACCTACTCGGGAGGCTGAGGCAGGAGAATCACTTGAACCCAGGAGACGGAGGTTGCAGTGAGCTGAGATCGCGTCGCTGCACTCCAGCCTGGGTGACGAGAGTGAAACTCCATCTCAGGAAAAAAAAAAAAAAGACATAATAAACATAAAATATGATTCTATTAACTCTATTAATCCAAATAACGTTTTCTAATTCAGAAGAAATATATAACATGTCTATTTGGTAGCTTAAAAACATTCTTTTAAAATACAAATACAGTAGACCCAAGTAGGCTTGGGGACTTAATATTAGTTACTCTAGCTACATGATAAAATTACTGGATATTGGAATCTGAAGCAGCACAATTATGCTTCAAGTACCATGCTCATCTGTCACTGACACACACACACAAGTGTGAATGCCTGCTTTGCTCAATTAACTCTGTAAATAAGTTCAGGATTTGCTGTGGAATGTTCCCTGCTTTCCATTTTCACTATGGTGAAAGTTATGGAAACTCGATCCCCATAATTTAAGCAAAGTTGTACTTAAAGTAACTCATATGTAAAAATTTAAGATACTACCTTTAGTGTCAAAAACATTTTAATCCAAGTAACGTAATCTGCCTGCTTCTAAAAACTGGCATATAAAGCAACAGATCTGTTAGGCAGTCACAAGGTAAACAGGCTCATCCTACTGGAGCAGAAGTTTTACTCACAAATATGAAAGAAATAATCTAAAATATCAGAGTGCCACTTAGGATTAAGACCACAAACTGCCCCCAGTACACATCCTCTGTCCTTAAAGATCTGAGCTACTAACATGGAAAAGATTGAAAAACACTGTCTTCAAGTATAAATAAAAATATATTACATTTCGGTAAGAATACATTGTTTAGGGGGAAGGGAAGCAGATGCTCATCTATTTTGTCCTATCTATTGATAACTAAATTCAGAAGCTGTACTAAAAGTCAAACAAAAGTTATAAATACATCTCAATTTTTAAAGAGCAATGATTACAGTCAGAAAAACTCATTTGGTGGCTAGTATTCTTGAATTAAAAGTGCCATACCAAAGTGAAATCTTTTTGGTTTTCAACACCTAGCTTTTTCATGTCACAATTATTTTGGGATTCTTTTCCACTTACTGCATATTGTGAAAACTCACCTGAACTCAAAACTCTAGGTAAATCTATAAACCTGTAACTCAGAATCCACCTTTAATTCATTTGTAAAATACACTTTCTCTGCACACATTTCCTCTCTCTTCTTTTAACCGTAATATTTGGATTTAGGGAGCATCAAGTTCCTTGACTGTAAAGTCAATGAAAAAAGAGATATGAAGTCAAAAGAATGGGAGATAATGAACAAGAGGCCAGTAGTTAAAAAGTAAAATTTCAATAAAGAATAACAGTTAAGATGGTCGTTCATGTTATTACCCAAACACTAGGGGTTTCGTCCAGGTCCTCCTGCTCATCGGAGAAAAAGCCAGTCACTGAGGTGACAAGTACTGCCAAGGAAGAAAGCTTTAACCTGGTGCTGCGGCCCAGGAGCTGGGAGCTCAGTCTCAAATCCATGGGCTTGACTAATAGGGGCAGGAAAAAAATTTAACAATGTATAAGAGAACAGAAATTAGGGAGGGGCAGGAGGCATGTGGTGCTGTGATCTGGTATGTTTCAGTTATCTGATACTTCCTGAAGGTCTTTTTTTGAGGAGAGAACTCAGATACAACAGATCCAAGTTTCAAGCTTTAACAGCAGGGTCAATTTTGACGTTCATCCAAAAAAAACCCATCCATTGGGACAACAGGGCCGGTGTCAATGTAAGCAATGATTCTGTAGTTCCTCTTTGTTCTTTCAAAATCTAAAATAAACAATTGAATTTATATTATATGCTAAATCTAAAGAAAATACATCTTGTTGTACTTGAGGCCAGAAGAGATAGAAGTAAGGCAGTCAAGTTTGGGAACATTATAAAAAATTCAAAAAAAGTAATAAATGCATAAAACTTACAGAGTAACAAGTGCTATTTCAGAATTCTTCTAAATACTAAGTATTCACATGACCTTATCAATATTTGCATTACTAACCATACAATAAGAACTTGACTTCTGACTGTTCTGAGATAAGGGATAAATGTGTACTTTACCTTAAATGGGAAAGTGCATCATGTACCCACTTCGAGATTCACAACAGGGAAAACTGATTTGAAAAATTGTTGCTTGTGAAGTTCATTTATATGTTAAAAAAAGGCCAATACATTTTCCCTTTTCCACATAGAAAAGGAACACTATACTTATAAATACTAAAACACAGTCTGTGGAATACAAGGAACCAATAGAAACAGTATGTAGGAAAATGGAAGTGAAAAGATTATACATTGCAAAGACTTCAGTAGAAGGAGTTTTTCATCAACATCATCAGTTTCAGAAGGGCCTGCTTTGGGATACAAAGACAATACTTCAACAGTAACTCCCCCAAGCCAGACGCAGCGACTTATGCCTGTAATCCCAGTAATTTGGGAGGCCAAGGCAGGCAGTGAGGTCTGGAGTTCAAGACAAACCTGGCCAACAGGGTGATACACCGTCTCTACCAAAAAATACAAAAATTAACCAGGTGTAGTGGCATGCACCTATACAGTCCCAGCTATATGGGAGGCTGAGGCAAATGTACTCATTTTTTCATTCCTGCACCCAAGAAACTGCAACCAATCTACTCTGTTAAGAGCAGAGATAAAGGGTTTAGACTCCATATTACATGTGAAATAGAAGAAATGAATCAGTTTAGTATGAACTTGTATGCACTTTTGGAGAGGAAAGTAGGTCAAGAAGCCATTAAGATACATGAAGGAAGGTCAAATCTTAAAGAAAACTAGAAATTCAGATTTATTTACATAGCTCTAGAAGGAAGAACCAGGAATAGTGGAGAATGAATGTAGAAAACATTTTTAGTGAATGAAAGCATGAGATGATAACACAAGCAGCCACCAATGGAACAAACTGATGTGCAACAGCGGATTTGCCGTCACTGAAGCTATCCAGTCTCCAACTGTTGCAGGTATTACAGAGCTATCGAGAGTTTTAGTAGGCGGCTGGGGTTCCTTTCAGATCTGACATGGCATGATGCCAAAATGCTGTACATGCTCTCATCTTTTTCTGGCTCATTTTTTTTCTCTCTTCAGGTTTCTTAACCTTTTATCTACTTCCCTCTATTAATAATCACCTAAACCATACACTCAGTCTTCTGGAGTAAATTTCTTTATCTTTCACTTCACAAATAAACATCTTTGATGGATGAAAACACCGCAGGAAAGCCACCTAAGCAGATATGACTTCTCAACTTTTTTTTTTAAGTGATTTCCATTCATCACTAATTCCAAACAAAACAATTACAAACTATCATAAAATTATTAGAAAGTGAAAATGGGAAGCATTGGTTAAATATGTGTTTAGTATGCTTCACCATGTCCTCAAACATATTTAAAAAGTTAATCCACACTTCTTTAAGTGCATTGGGGGACTTGCTTTAGATTAAAAAATATGTTAACTATTTCAGGACACTAAGGACCTTACAAATCTGAATTAGCTCAGATTGGCTGCTATCTCCTCAATTATTTTCTGATAAATAAGAAACAAACAGTAAATAGCAACTTGCAGAAAATCTACCAGTAGTACACAAGGGCAGCCAAACTTCAAAATTCTTGCCACTCAAACTCTAGACGGTTACTATTTACTAAAATGTAAATAATAAAAAGACTTTTCTCAATCTTGTCCTCCAGAAAGAAAAGCCATAAAGTTCAAACACTAACCAAAAAAAGGGTAAGGAGAAACGTTTATATATTGGCGTTCCTTTTATTAGTGTCTTCACATACAACACTCCTCAATTTTAAACACCGCTTTCTTTCAGAAGACAAAACCAAGACAAAATGGTAGAAATCAAAGGGTTACAGACTTTGATTTAAAAGGCATAACCTTTTCAAAAATGAAAGCTATCGATGGATCACTTCTGAGAAGAAATTCCCTGGCACTAGGATAGAGGTTGGAAAACCATCTTTCCAGGTGCTCTAAAATAGAATCCTCTCATAGTGCAAGAGTCCTTCTAATTCTAGGGGTCTAGGATTATTTTTATTATTATTGTTACCTTTCCCGTTCTGGAAAATCCTCAAGACTCTGTCTTGTAAATGTCACCAACCCAGTAGGTTCTACAGAAGCAATAAAAGAAAAACATACCCAAAATAAGTTTCAATTTTGAAAACATTATACACACACACGTGCACACGCGCGCACACACACTCGATAAAAGAATAGGTCTAACATTGACTATAAAACTAACCAGGAAATACAAAGCCTAGCATTGGAAAATAACAGAATATTGATTGAAAATATTATCCTTACAGTAGAAACTCCTATAAAACAGTAAGACTTCACTAAACGAAACTATACAAATAACAGCACAACAGTAGGATTTGAGTGCTGGTACTTTTTGGTAAAGTTTTGAAGCTGAATACACTTTTAAAAACAAAACCATTGAAAAAAAGGATGTATAACTGGTACAGCTTATGCAGTAAAGACAAAACTGAATTCAAATTTGTAGACTCCTTTACAAAGAAAGGACTTAACCCTACATTCAAAGACTGGTGAATAAAGACACATTTATGTACTTTGTAGTAAAGTGAAATGCCACAGCTTTAAAAAGAAAATCATTTGCACATCCTCTGAAGTTAGTAAAGCTAAGTTTCAGGCTTAGATAGTGGGCAATCACTCTACTTGTTAGTAGCAGTCTTAGCCAGAGAAGAAATTACTGGTTCTAAGAGTTTACAGAATAAAGATGACATATTTTTCAAGAAGCAATACATTTGGGAGGATCAAAATGGAGTAGTATTAATGTAGTCAATAATTTTAAGAGGATGAGATCCTTTTCTAGTCAGATTTATTTATTTTTTAAAGCTAGTAGCAAAAGAAACAAATATATCAGCTGGCCAGAAGTAATTTGTCTGACTCAAATCAAAGAGCAAACTAAAAAGGCTATGCCATTTCTGTTTTCTTGAATAGAAAAAAGCTCTTAAGGAAAGAGAGAGATGTCAGGAACTATTACTGATGACAGTGTATAACCCAGTGAAAGCCTGGCCATCATTTCATTCCTATGCACAATTCCACATTTCCTTGTTCTCAGTCAAAAGCAGGAACCACTCAAAAACCATACGGAGCAGTTGCAGAAGAAAACAAAATTTTTTGTTAACATAGGTCTTACATTCTTTAGATATCTAACTTTAAGATAAACGGATAACATATTTAAAACTCACGAGTAAGTGGTCAAACAACTCTAACACTAGAGATGCAATTCCATGAATATAATAGAAAACATCTCTCTTGTCATTCGGTAACTTAGCAGAGAAGTAAGAACACCAAATGTCCTTCATATATACTAAGAGATGCTAAGAGAAATTCGTAAACACTGCTGGCAAAGCAAGAAAAGGCAGAAGAACATGGTTTCTCAGATTAACAAAAAATGCCTTGAGAGCATGTCTGTTAGCTTTCTTTTTCATAACAAGGCAACTTTCATCTCAGAATAGGATACTCTGATTAATCAAATACTTCCCATAATAAAATCACAATATATACTACATACAGGTCATAAATTTTCAAAAATCTGATCTATAAGATACTTTATCTAAAACTATATAAAAAGTAATTTAATTCAGAAGGCTTTTTAAAACATTTCAGTCTCAAGATCCTCATCAAATATAAAATACACGTTTAACAACACTGAAAAGTTGGTCCTGATGGAATTCTATTTTATCAATTCTAAAAGGCGGGTTTTTCCACATACTACATTTCTGAAACTGGAATACATCTTTTATAATGGAGGTATCTTACCATAGGTCTAGACTAGAGGAGAATTTTCCCAGAGAAGGTGTGCATCTGCTTCTGCTGTCATCTGGGAACACTATCAGCCCAACACCATCTGAATTAATCCTTTGTGGCAGGCCTTTGTGGACCACACTGGTGGTAAGGCTGCACACCCAAAGCTTAGGGCTTGTGGTTCAAATTCTCAGAGAAATGTTTTTTTCTTTCTCTATTTAGTGTCAAGGTTGAGACTTGCATGCTTCTTTATGGTCCCTTTTCTGGATGGTCAAGTTAATTTCTCATTTATCCCTAGGTGTACCAGCCTTGTGGGTTAGGTCTCCTACTAAACTCCCTGTCCTGAGTGTTTTTCCCTTCTTAGAGGTATATAATGTAATAGCACTTTTTAAAAATAATCTATGACATCTTAGATTCGATGAAATATGGTACCTTAAATAAGCTTCTCCAGTCTATTGAGTAGGCTCCAGAACTTCTACACAACGACTCATTATACTGCAACCTCTTTTATTCTCTTTAGGATTTCCTCTTTAAACCGTTAGCTTTACATACTGCAGACCAAGAGCAATGTTGTACTGTATTTCTACAAAGAACTTAATTAACATGTACAGTAAAAAAGTCAGAAAATAAAATGTCTAGTTATAATTTATTTCTTCAAATTCCAAATACTTATAATGGCATATACATTTCTAGTTTAAAAAACAAACTTTTAGCTTTTTCCTCAAAGTATCTGAAATCCTAAAATGTAGAAAGCCAAGTTAGTTTTTAGAGAAGACATACATGATTTGACTCCCAGGACAAAAAAGTAAACTCTGTACTACTTAGTTATAACAATTCTACTTAAAACGGCAACTCAAAGTACTGTAAAAACAAAACAAAAAAGACCAACAGTAATAATTCTACTTAGACCTAGAATAGCCAAAAAAAAGTAGTCATTTTTTTTTTTTAGACATAATCTTGCTCTGTCACCCAGGCTAGAGTGCAGTGGCACAATCTCAGCTCACTGCAACCTCCACTTCCTGGGTTCAAGTGATTCTTGTGCCTCAGCCTCCCGAGTAGCTGGGATTACAGGCTCCTGCCACCACGCCTGGCTAATTTTTGTATTTTTTAGTAGAGACAGGGTTTCACCATCTTGACCAAGCTGGTCTGGAACTCCTGACCTCGTGATCCACCACGCCTGGCCTTACGTAGTCATCTTTTTAACAAGTCATTACAAATTCTAATTTGATTTTGTGTCTCATAGGTCCAAATGATTCTGCATTTTAATATTTCATTCAGTACAGGGCACAAAACTGAAATTCAATAAGCTATGAGATAAATAATTCCGTATCAGAGAAGCATATAATGTTCCCTTAAATATTAAAATCCTGATAATTGATTTCATTCTAAAAATTTAACAATGTCCAATAGCAATACATTCAAGGGGGAAGATGCCAAGTACACTGTCATGCAAGAGTAAAAGAAGGATATGAGAAAAATGACCTTAAAATTGTTCAAAGACATGTTTTAAGACAATCCTACAACCCAGAACTGAAAAAAAGCCATTTCACTTGACCAGGTTGACATTACCTACTTAGCACAAAGAAACTTTTAAGGTGTTCTGGTTTACATCCACTTGTAGGAAAGGCTACCCATTGATAATAGCTTACATTTATTAAGCATGTATCTCCTTGTTTAATATCTATAACTACCCTGTAAGATAATAACCATTATTATATTATTTCATAGGTGATAAAACTGAAGCTTAGAGGTGTCAAGAAACTTGACCACGGTCATTCAGCTTCTGAGATAAGAGTGGCAATACCAATCTATTATCAGTTGGTCATTACCAGTATTTGTTGGACATTTACTATTACTGCCTCAGCTGCTTTCAGGTTTTGGGGAAGCAAGAATGTTAAGGTTCAATAGAGGAAGATGGATATAAAACTCAGTACAAAACAGTTTTATGAGAACTCCACAAAGGGCTTAGGGGGGCACAAAAGAGAGGAATGGGTAGAAAAGCAATGCGTTAGTTGACTTATACAAATAAACTAGTGAATGCTTCTTTAAATAAAGAGCATCCAAAATTTATTTCCTGGTCAATATAGTTTCTCTGGTTTTTATTCATGAAAATGTTTTGATGTATAGAATATGTGTCCGATTTCAGAGTATGTAAACCCCGCCCCCCTACATTTATAGCACACATTTATGCTTATACACAACACAAGCATAAAACCGAAGTTACCTTGTCGCATCATTACTGTTTCAATGTAGTTGGGACAGGAAGGTTTACGTTAAACACAAAATGTTCCTCACATGTCACTTGACTTGAACTGTTCCCATCAGCAAGAAAAATTACTGCAAGAATGAAAGGAGTTCACTTTTCTCTGTGACTGTTCCAAAGAAGCGGAAGAGCATTTTAAGTTTCTCCGGTTTCCTTGATGAATGTCCCTCAAACAACCTAAAGGACTTAAAAAATAAGAGAATGGAAGATGAGTTAAAATGCCTTAATGATTCAGAAAACTACATCCATATTGCTACCAAGTAACAAAAAGAAATAATTGTTCCAGAAGACAATTCTGTAATGATAAGAACTAGAAAATTGGTTTAGATTCAAATGGCATCTGGAGAGAACTGAAATCAACTAGAACCAGCCTTCTTCAAAGCTGTTCAAATCAGACAGCATTTGCTACCAACCACATTTCTCCAACCTATCTTCCACCACAGAGAAGGCACCATCTAGCCCTCCCAGTCAATTGGGGTCAGTCAGTGCACAGCTACTTTCTCAATGGCTAATAACATTTATAATTCATAATGTTACTACGTAGTTTGATAAGTAACAATAACAGTATCTGAAAAAAATCCTTATCTGAGTGTTTTTGAGGAAATGAGAGTGGAGGGGAATGGGGGAAGGACACAGGCAGGTATAACAAGATATCAGGGCTCAACAATCCTTGTTAATTAAACAACTAGTTTCTTTTACGGACTGAATGTTTGTGCCCTCTCAAAATTTATATGTTGAATCTTTAATCCCTAATATAGCTAAATTTGGAGACAGGGCCTGTGAGGAGGTACTAACAGTTAAATGAGGTCATGGGGTGGGACTCTAATCTGATAGAACTGGTGTCATTTTAAGACAAGGTGAGACTACAGTACTCTCCCCTTTGCCATGTGAGGACAAGATGCCAGCCAACCTATAAGCCAGGAAGAAAGCCCTCATCAGGAACCGAAGCAGCAGCACCCTGATCTACAGCTTCTAGCCTCCAGAACCGTGAGAAAATTAAGCCACCCAGTTCTATGGTATTTTATTATGGCAGCCCAAGCTGACTAATAGAGATCCTTTGCACGGTAACCAAAACAGTGCCTACCCTGTGTCATCTAGTTTTCAGCAACCCGGACTTGGATTACTTAATTCAGTTTCCTTTGAAATGATGTGGCATTGTTATTGGTAACATGTAATTCAGTTTATTCTGAGGAAAGAAAAACAGGGCTTTAAAAGCATTATGACCTGAGTAAGTAGTTCACTAAAAGATTTGTAACACAAAAGCATGCTTTTGAGTATGAGATCTAGCTTTCCAAAGGCATTTAAAAATTATAGAGACTCAGTGGCTATGAATGATGAAGTACTCTTCATCTGCCTCTAGCCATGTGCTCTGACTTTAAAACCAGAGACCCTTCAAGTAAGGTCCACGTTAGTAAGTGCTGAAATGGGTAATTATTTTTCATGATTACAACAGCAAGCTTATGTAACTACGCTGAGAGGGAAAAGTTAATTCCATGAGAAAATCCTATTGAGCGACTGAAATAAATTAGGAAAAGGAAAGGAAATGCAGATTTCAAATGGTTCCGTTTTCAACGATCTGAAATCTGTATTCAAGGCCAATTTCTGGAAAAACAATTTATGTGAATATTTATTTCCTAGAAAGAATACTAATGTAGGCTAGTATTTTAACCAAATCTAAAATCAGATCTCTTTTTTAAAAGTTTAAGACAGCCTGTGTGATAATTTTTATTTATTTAAAAGAATCTGTCTTCTAAAATATTTAATACACATCTCTTATAATCCAGTTGCTAGTTGAAACAGGGTACAGGTTAAATAAGATAGTATTTCTAAATGGATTCTGAATGGATTAAGACTCAATAAAATGGACATTTTATTGAGTGAATGGAGAGATCTAATCCATCTGGCAAGTCAGTTAAGAGAGCTTCTGCTGCCATTTTTATTGACATGTAATAGTGTAATAAACTCACATGTAATACTGTAAAGCTCTGTAAAAAAATTTTAACCTAGCCTATTTGTTTAAAGGAGATGTTAACAATTCATGCTCCCTTGAACCACTTCATTTTTGCTTTTAGGACAGGACTGTTCATTAACACACACAATCAATTACTAAACACAATTACTGAAATAAATATTATCAAGCAGTAACCAAAAAATTCAACGTAAGGCTATCATACCCAAACTCCAATATCCAGAAGCCAATTTAAGTAACCCATGCCTCCTTGGCAAAAGTGTATGGATATTACCTTTTCCTTGTGATAGTAAAACCTATCCATTTTCTTACATCACCCAAGTATCAGCTTTTACACTTCTACAAATAAAGCAGACAATGAACATACTGTGTAGAAATCTTGAGCCCTTAATTAAAAGGTACTCACAGAGTTGTATCTAAATCATTGGCTACAATGATCTAAAACACACACACACAGTTATATCTAGGTCATTTGCTACAGTGATCTAAACCACTTCATTTACATCTTAGTATTAATCACAGGACAAAAACGCTAATATTTTCAGAACTACAGCCAGTGTTGCTATCTGGCACAGGCAACGTGTCTTCAAAACCCCTTGATACTATGTGTTTGCCCCCAAGTAAATAGGAGGGAGATCCAGGCGCCCCTTCCAAAAGCAACAGCTTAGAGGAGAGAAGGAAAATCAAAGATACTGAGACGATTCATTTTAGCCAAAAGCGAACCTGCCACCCAAAAGAGCAAAAAACAAAATCTGAAAACTAAGATGTATGTTATTATATGTTATTCACAGAACTTATCTGCAATATTTTTAAAGAAAAAATTACAAAACCGTGTTTCTCAAAATGTTACAATAAAATTTTATGTGTGTAAAGTCTATTTTACGTGTACATTTGTGTGTGTGTAAAAGAGAGGGGATTATGAATTAGGAAGCGTATGTACCAAAACATTAGAAGTAGTTATCCTTGGGTAATGAGATTATGATTTTCACTTTCCTCTTTATACCTTAATATATCATCTCCAAATTTACAATCAGAATTCATTATAAAGCTATTGCATTTTTATTTATTTATTTATTTTGTGAGACATGGTCTCACTCTGTCACCCAGGCTGGAGAGTGCAGTGGTGCAATTTCAGCTCACTGCAACCTCGGCCTCCCAGGCTCAAGCGGTCCTCCCACCTGAGCCTCCTGAGTAGCTGAGACCAATCAAAGTTAAGTTTTCTTCGGTTTAAAGTAACTTGTTATGTTGTTTAGCCTCATGGTAACCAGAAAACAAAAATCAACAGACACTCTAAACATAAAAACCAAGGAATTAAAACACTACCAGAAAAAATTACTTCACTACAAATAAAGACAGGAAGAAAGGCAAGGAGGAAAGAGAAGAAATAAAAAGAGATCAGAAAGAAAAGAGGAAGGGAGAAAGAACAAAAGAAAAAGCAAAACAATCAAAAAAGTAAAAAATGGCAGTAGTATGTTTTTATCTGTAATAATCCTGAATGTAAATTAAATTAAGACAGAGTGGCTGAATGGATTAAAAGACCCAATTATGTCCTGCCTACAAGGAACTCAGTTCACCTATAAAGACATACACAGACAAAGTCAAGGGATGATAAGAGATATTCCATACAAACGGAAACAAAAAAAGCAGGAGTAGCTATACTTAGATAAAATAGCCTTTAACTCAAAAAAAGAAAAAATAAAGATAATTATATAATGAGAAACAAGTAAACAGCCGTTAAGTGCATATGCAACCAACACTGAAGCACCTAAATATAGATGCAAATATTAACAGGCTTTAAAGGACAGAGGGACTGCAATACAATAATAGAGTAACCTCAACACTCCACCGTAATCAACACCCCACTATCGCGAACGGACAGATCATCCAGACAACAAAACATCATCAGTTAAACTGTACTCTATACAGAATGGACCTAACAGACATTTACACAGCTTTTCACTCTGCAACTGCACAATGCTCATTCTACTGAGTGGCACATCGATTATTCTACAGGACAGACTGTGTTAGGCCAAAAAACAAGTCACAACACTTTTTTTTTTTTTTGAGGTGGAGTCTCTGTCTCCCAGGCTGGAGTGCAGTGGCACTATCTCGGCTCACTGCAAGCTCCGCCTCCCGGGTTGACGCCATTCTCCTGCTTCAGCCTCCGGAGGAGCCGGCCACCACACCCGGCTAATTTTTTGTATTTTTAGTAGAGACGGAGTTTCACCGTGTTAGCCAGGATGGTCTCGATCTCCTGACCTCGTGATCCCGCCTCGGTCACCCAACACATTTTTAAAAACTGAATTCATATCAAGTATCTTTTCTGACCACAGTCGAATAGTATTAGAAATCAGTAACAGATAGAACTTTAAAAACTGTACAAATACATGGAAATTAAAATACACGCTCATGAACAACCAATAAAAGAAATGAAAAAAATACAAGGGAAATTAAATATTTATTGAAACAAGTAAGAATAGAAACACAACATAAATCCTGTGGGATGCACCAAAGGCAATTCTAAGAGGAAAAGTGTATAGCTATAAATGCCTGCATCAGAAAAGTAGGAAGATCTCAAATAGCCTGACAGTACACCTCCTGTAATGAGAAAAACAAGAACAATCAAATGCTAGAATTCGCAGAAAAAATACCATAAAGATTAGAGAAGAAATTTTAAAAATAGAAACAAAAAATACAAAAAGTCAATGAAACAAAAGCTGGGGTGTTTTAAAAAAAATCAAAATTGACGAGTTTTAACTAGATGAACTTAGATAAAAAGAAAACAAAGTCATAAAGAAGGCATTACAACTGGTAACCCAGAAATACGAAGCATTAAAAGATTACTAAAAACATCACAAAGAAATTGAAAAATCTGGAAGTGAATACATTTCTAGACACATAACGAATTCCCAAGATAGAATGATAAAAAATAAAAATAAAAAACCTGAACAGACCAATAATGAGGAATGCAATTAAAGCAGTCATAAAAAGTCTCCTGGCAAAGAAAAACACAAGAATCATGGTTTTCCTGCTGAATTACCAAACATTTTTAAAATAGCTAATATCTATTTTACTCAAAATATTCCCCATAAAATGAAGAGGAAGAAAGGCTTCAAAACTTGTTCTATGAGGACAGCATGACCCTGGTACAAAAACCAGACCAGAACACAACACAAAAAGGAAACCACAGGCAAATATCCCTGATGAACAGAGGTGTAAGAAATCCTCAGCAAAATACTTGAAAATTGCATTTGACAATGCAATAAAAAGATCATCTGCCATGATCAAGTGGATTTCATTCAACCCAGGAATATGAGGATGATTCAATAAACACAAATAAATATGCAACATCACATTCAGCAAATCAACAACAAAAACCATATAATCATTTCAGTAGACGCTGAAAAAAATAAAAGTCAACATTCCTTCATGATAAAAACTCAACAACATGAGTACAGAAGACACATATCTCAGTGCAATAAAGGCCATATATGACAAACCCACAGCTAACATAATCAAGAAGGAAAAGTTAAAAGCTCTTCTCCTCTAAGATCTGGAACAAGTGTGGCTACTTTTACACCACTTTTGTTCATCATAATACTGGAAGTCCTAGCTAGAGCAATTAGGAGAATGCAATAAAAGGCATCCAAATTGGAAAAAAGGAGTCAAATTGTCTGTTTCCAGGTGACATGAACATATATAGAGAGAACCCTAAAGATTCCACAAAAAACCTACTAGAAACAATAAATTAGTCAAGTTCCAAGATACAGTATCAAAATATAAAAATGAATACTACACCCATGCACCAATAGTGAAATATCTAAGAAAGAAATCGAGAAAGCTATTTCATTACCAAAAAAATGATATCTAGGAATAAACTTAACCAAAAAGGCAAGAGATCCCAAAATGAAAACTTCATAAAACATAGATGAAAGATACTAAAGCAGACACAAGTAAATGGAAAGATATCCCATCTCTATGCACTAGAAGAATGTTAAAATATGTGTATCACCCAATGTGATCTACAGAATCAATGCAATCTATGTTCAATTACAAGACATTCTTCATTGAAATAGAAAAAGAATCTCAAAATTCACATGGAAGTTCAAAATACCTCAGATAGACAAAAGAATGTGGAATAAAAAGAAAAGCTGGAGGCATCACACTACCTGATTTCAAAATATACTACAAATTTATAGTAAGGATGGTACTATCAAAACAGTATGGTACTCTCAATAAAAGGGGCGGGGGAGAGACAAGAGAGATGAACGAATGAGACAGACAGACATAGACAAGTGAAACAGAATAGAGAAATCATAAATAAATTCACGCGTTTACGGTCAATTCATTTTTAACAAAGGCCCCAAGAACACACCTTCGGGAAGGACAATCTCTTCAATAAACTGTACTAGGAAAACCCAACACCCACATGTACAAGAATACATCTAGGCCATTACCTTACCATATACAAAAATCTACTCAAAATAAAGATTTAAATACAGAACCTGAAACTATGAAACTACCAGAGAAGAAAACATAGGATAAATGCTTCATGAAATTGGTTAGGACAAGGAATTTTCAAATAGACATCAAAAGCACAAGCAACAAAAGCAAAGATGTAATTACATTAAACTTAAAACCTTTTCCAAAGCAGAGGAAGCAATCAGTATAATGAAGACAGAACCCGAGAATGGAAGAAAGTCTTTGCAGCTATGCATCAGGCAAGAGGTTAATACACAAAATATCTAAAGAACTCAAACTACTCAAAAGTGAAAATACAAATAATCTTATTTTTAAAAATCTACCCAAAACTTTTGTCCCCCACCATTTCCCCACCTTCTTTTCCCGACCGCATTTCGCCCTCTCCCTCTCACCACCCTTTCTCTTCCTCCATCTACCCCCAAACGTTTTCACCGTTTTCTCCCCACCATCATTTCGTTTTCTCCCCGCCCCCGCCCCCGTCATTTCGCAAAGCCTTCTCTATTCTCCCGCTCACCACGCTTTTCCCCAACCATCTACCCAAACACTTTCTCCCGTTTTTTCCCACCGTATTTTCCCCCTTCTCCCTGGCCACCCTCTTTTTTCCCCCTCCTGCTGTCATCATGCCCTTTTCCTCCTCCATCTAAGCAAAAACATTTTCCCCCCGTCTTTTCCCAAAGCCTTTTCCCTACTCCTGCTGCTCACCACCCTCTTTTCCCCCTTTATCTACCCAAAAACTGTTTTCCTCATTGTCTTTCCTCCTGCTCCTCCTTGCCACTCTTTCCCTTCTCCATCTACCCAAAAACATTTCCCCACCATCTTTTCTCAAAGCCTTCTCCCCACTCCTGCTCACCTCTCTCTTCCCCCCATCTACCCCCCAAAATTTCCCCATCTTTTCACAAAGTCTGCCCCCTCTTCCCACTCGTCCTCTTCTCTCCCCTATCCTGCTTGTCACCCTTTTTTTTGCCCTGCATCTATCCCAAACTATTTTCCCGTCTTTTTCCCACCCTTCTTTCCCTGCTCCCTTCTCGCCACCCTCCTTTCTCCTCCTCGTCACCCTCTTTCCCTCCTCCATCTACCCAAACACTTTTTACCTACCGTCTTTTCGCCACCATCTTTCTTTTCTGCCACTGTTTTTTCGCAAAACCTTGTCTTCCTCCCGCTAGTTACCCTTTTTCCTTCTCCCACTTGCTATCTTCTTCTGCTCCTCTATCTACCCAAAAACTTCTCTCCCCACTGTCTTTTCACAAAACCCTCTCTCCCTACTGCTAGCCCATTTCCCCCACCTCACCACTCTCTCCCCTCCCCAATTGCCACCATCTTTTCCCCCTTCATCCACCCATAAACTTTCTATCCACCGTCTTTCTGCAAAACCTTCCCTCACTCCCGCTCCACACCCTGTCTTTCCACCTCCATCTACCCAAAACCTTTTTTCCCCACCATCTTTTCCCCATCGTCTTTTTGCAACGCCTTCTCCTCCTCGCTATCCTTTTTTCCCTTTGGCAATAACCAAACTCTTTACCCACCCCTCTATCTATCCCAAAACGATTTTCCTCTTCCTACCCCTCCAGCCGCGTGGCAATCGCAAGCTCCACTGCCACCACCAACCATAGCGAGGCGAGCTGCGCCGCTGTGCCGTGTCTCAAGCCTCCAGCATATGGCCGGTGACTCCTTTTCCTGGTCCTCTAAGCTGGGCACTGAGCAGCTCAACAGTAAAACACCGAACCCTAAAAAAAAAAAACCGTAACAGCTTTTCAGCATCATTTATATACGGAGGTTATGCGCATGCCGGTTCCTAGACTTCATGTTCTGATTGCATGAGAGCAAGTCTTAAGATAACCAATCACAGCATGAAAATAAAGTCCAATCAGAGTAGGCCTAGAGGTTTTTCTCTCATCCAATCAGAACATGTAGTCCAGGATCCGTAACTTCAGTATATAAAGCATGCTGAGGAAGTGGTGCGTCATTTTTGGGTCTTCTGTGTCGGTGTGCTCAGCTGCTAGGTACCTGGGTTAGAGAACTAGAAGGGTCCATTAGTTTTCACCCGCTGGAGCCTGGAGCCTGGAGCCTAGGGCGCTGCCTCCCTGTTGGTGGTGTTGGTGACGGAGCGGTAGGAGGGAGGCTAGCAGCGGGAGCTTCTCCTGCCGGGCTGGAAGACGAGGAGAAGGAAGAGACACCGCTGCATGCTGGAGGCTGGAGCCAGAGCCTGCGCCTCCGTGGCTTACCTCGCTGCAGCTGGTGGTGACATCAGAGACCACAGCTCGGCTACAGTGGTAGCAATGTGGTTGCAGTGAGCCAAGATTGCATCACTGCTCTGCAGCCTGGCGACAGAGCAAGACACCATCTTAAAAAAAAAAAATTGACCACAGTGTTTTGCATCTGTTTCAGAAAAACAAATGATACCATTATTTAATATGCTGCAGTAACTAGAAGCCTACTTATAATGTTGGTGGCAAATAAGTCATTGGTATATGTTAACTTCCTATAATCATTTACATGTTCCTAAGAGTCACTTTGTGTATTTATATAAGAAGGTCAGCATGTAAATGATTATAGATAGAGAAACTTTTTGTTGAAAAGTAAGAAAGCTTGTCTCCCTTTTCCTAGTTATGAAGGAACCACCACCACAACAAAATAAAGCATACACTTTGTTTATAACCCTGAATCATGATTTATGGCCAGATTATCCTAGCATCCAACTGCCTACCTTGGCATTTATCAGTTGAAATGAGTCCAGAGAAAGGAATTATTTTTTATATATCTGCTGCTCTTGAAGGAGAAACCTTCCTTAGAGGTCACTTGTAAGAACAGGTTCCCAAATCGCCTATATCCAAGGCACTCTGGGCTGCCTGGGAACTCTACAAATCACAGTTTTGAGGGGTTCACTTTTCTGGTTGAAATTTATCATAGTTTATATGATGAAAGGATGACAGGTAGATACTCTTTAAGAGTTGAGGATGTGTTATGTTACCAAGGATTGTAAATATTTAATGAGCAAATGAGTTAGAGTTTCAATAATATTGATGGGACCTATTATCACTCACTTTCATCTAAAGCTCAGTGTTACTTCAAAGCATAAAATCAAGCGAACATCCCATGATTAGTTTCTTACACTGCTGTGCTTTGTGTTTTCATTGAATTCAGAGTATGCCTGTGTACTGTCCCTGGGAACACTGTATGAAAGGATTTTTAAAGTAGTCTGTTCTGATACTGGTTTGTCAATGAAACTTTTCAAAAAGGTTAGTTGAATATCACTTAGTGTTCTTTATGTGACCCTCTTGGGTCTCCTTCCCAGTGCCAAATTCCCCCATCTCAACCTCATTTGGACATCCTATATTAAGAAAAAACAAAGCAGGTACTCATCAGCAGGAACGGAATCCTATTCTCTTGACAGAATTCCCGTCATCTATAACCTGCTGGATAAATAGTTCAAATGCTGTATCTCTGTTCCTATTCCTAGACTTTCTGGCACCTATTACCCTTCAAGTCCATGTGTCTTCCAGTAGGTTGCAGTGCTCTCCCCAGGAGATGGCAGCTACCTAGATTTGTATGTTACAGAGGTGGTCGTGTGCCTTCTCTACCTCTCTCCTATGTTCCCATGTAACCTAACCACACAGGCCATAATCAGCTCCACCCTAGGAAACATAACATTGGTATACCTGTCCCTTGAAGTCCTTAGAGAGAATGGTCTGAAAACAAAGGGAGATTAAAGGTCTTTTCTGTTTCAGGGAAAGTATAGTTCTGTCAGTAGATTTCTGGTTAAAAGACACAGAAGAAGGAAAAAAGACACTCATCTGTAGGAACTCAGTTTAGCCAACGTGACTTCCACTTGGAAGCATTTTTCCTCTCCTCTTCAAGCCCAACTCTAGGGAATGTCCTGTGCAAAAATATCAGTGTAGGCGCATCTCTTTGCGGAACTGAGTTGCTCTGCTTTCAGTTTCCTCTCTCCAGTGCCCCCAAGCTCCTGCCTGGCTTCTTCTGCTGTTCAACCCAGGATCCCATGCTCTAGAACAGCCTTCTCACCATCTTTCCTCAGCTCTTAATTCAAAAGTCCCACTTCTAGTTCATGCTCAGAGAAAAAGCAAGTAGACCTAATCTTTATTAGAATGTGAATTTCTAGACAATAGTACTCTCTTTGGCTTACTTCACTGCCCTACATGCTGAACTTTCAGATAATATAAGGAAGAGAAAAAAGTCTAGATGTTGGAGAGGGAGTCGGTTTCAGGTAGGGAAGATCCAGTCAGTCCTACAGGTTATTATCTGCTCTTCAGCATTCCTTATACCTCTCTGGCAACAAGTGACAGGTGGGACCATATGGAGTTATTATTTTTTGACTTTTGGCTTACAAAATGGCTATTTTATACGATTCAGCCTAATGGGCTTTCATTGCTAACATTAGGGGTTACAGTTGAACCAGCCAACTCAGGAGGAAATTCAGAACCTGGATTCTTATAGTGATAGTGGAAAACAAATTCATGGTTAAGATTTGAATGTGAATTTTAAAATAAATCATAGTATTTTAAAAAACCATTTTTCCTTATTAAATATGTAACTTTGGAAAAGTTACTTAACCAGTTCATAATAGTACCTATTTTATAGGGCTGCTGTGGGGATTTAATGAGATCATTTATGGAAAGCACATGGCACTGTGCCACACTCATAATAAGTACTCATTAAGTGTTGGCCACAATTCTCACCAGCCTTGTTCTCTGTCCTCAGGAGATGATGACCATAATTGGAAAATTGCCCATGTGGTACTCAAAGAGGAACAGAAATTTCGCTAACTTTTCCAGGGCACAAAAGGCGACCCTCGGAACTCAACTGGGGGAATTTACCTGGATGACATCACTCTGACAGAAACCCCCTGCCCCACAGGGGTCTGGACAGTCCGGAATTTCTCCCAGGTCCTTGAGAACACCAGCGAAGGGGACAAGCTTCAGAGCCCTCGATTCTACAATTCAGAGGGATGCGGTTTTGGGTTAACTTTATACCCCCATGGCAGAGAAAGCTCTGGCTATTTGAGACTTGCTTTTCACGTGTGCAGTGGGGAGAATGATGCTATCCTGGAGTGGCCGGTAGAAAACAGACAGGTGATAATTACCATCTTCGACCAGGAGCCTGATGTCAGGAACAGGATGTCCTCAAGTTTGGTGTTCACTACCTCCAAGTTGCACATATCTCCAGGTGGGTGGTGTCGGCATAAATAAGAACTGCCCCTCGAACCAGAGAGGCCCACAGATGTGATTCTGTGGTGCAAGAAAGAGTAACATTCTCCTCACATTGTCCGCCTGGGAATACCGATAACATAGGCGTGTTGGAGTTTCAAGTTAAGATTTTCAATGCCATCACATCCTCCTTCCCTTTCCTAAATTCACTCATCAAACATCTGTTGAGGGCTTACCATGTGCCAAACTCTGTGCTAGGTACTTACAATACAAGTGAATCAGGTGATCCCTGCCTCATTGAGCTCGTTGTGATTGAGGAAACAGATACTGCTAATCATTTATCAAATACTCGGAACTTGCTAGGCTCTGTGCAGAGCTAATGTACTTACTCCTAAAATAGCACTCAATATCACTATGTTCATGAAATAAACTTACATCAGTAAAGAAATGGGAAAACTTTTTTTTTTTTTTTTTGAGATGGAGTCTCGCTCTGTCACCCAGGCTGGAATGTAATGGCGCAATCTTGGCTCACTGCAACCTCCACCTCCCAGGTTCAAGCAATTCTCCTATTTCAGACTCCCGAGTAGAGACGGGGTTTCACCCTGTTGCCCAGGCTGGTCTTGAACTCCTGAGCTCAGGCAATCAACTTGCCTCAGCCTTCCAAAGTGCTAGGATTACAGACATGAGCCACCACACCTGGCACTATTTTTTTTTTTCAAAAGAGAAGACCTAAGCCTCAGAAGAAAGAAGCCATAGCTGTCCCTCTCTTTTCATTAAAAAAATCACGCAGTAGCAGACAACTGATCACTCAGAGCTGTGATTCTCTGCCTTTCCCATCTTTCAATTCTGAATTTCAATTCTCCTGGAAAGAGTAAATAGCTTAATTTTTTTCCAACATTTTTTTATTTTTATTTTTATTTTTATTTATTTATTTTTTTCTGATTCACAAAGCCCTGTATCCTCATAAAAGACAAACTGGAAAGCGAAGTCTAAAGAGGTAATGTGATTTTATGTTACCTACAATTTTGCAGGGACAAATGACACTGTCATCTGGGACAGGCCGTCCAGGGTGGGAACCTATCATGCTGACTGTAATTGTTTTAGAAGCATTGACTTTGGCTGGAGTGGTTTCATCTCCCACCAAATGCTGAAAAGGAGGAGTTTCCTGAAAAATGATGACCTCATCATGTTTGTGGACTTTGAAAGTACTTTTCTTGGTCTTCCTGAGTAAATAATCCTATGCTCTTGGCACTCTACTGATTTTATCCTGATTTTAAAGCACACATGGAGGGTGGGGATGAGGTTAAAAAAAATGTGTTGTAGGAGAACCACATTTTCTTCAGTTGGTCAAGGACGCACATCTTTATTTTAACTGTCCCTGAAAGAAACTGAAATTTTAGTGTCATCTTTTTGAAAATTTTATCAGAGGTAACAGTTCACTGATTTCAATTTAGTTTCCATCAGTCTATCCATGCTAACTTTATGCTTCATTTTGCAAATTCAATAAATAAAAATGTGACTGGATTACTTTAAAATAAAACTAGCTAGTACCGTGGGAATCAGCTGGATTCAAAGCCACTTTTCCATGTCACTGGGGGTGACATATCACTAGAGATAGAAGCAGGCTGGGGAACTTTCACCAGAAGTGGGAGTTCGCTGTAGTCAGTTACTAATCCTGGATCTTCCTCGTGACCCTCTATTTCCTGAAGATATCACCCACCTCAGCCAGACTGAAGTTCCCACTAAAGGCAAAAGACTGAGCCCCCAAGGCCTCATTCTCCAAGGCCAGGAGCAGCAGGTCTCCAAAGAAGGTTCAGGAAAGGCCATGTTAGAGGAAGCCGTACCTGTCAGCCTCAGCCAGGGGCAGCCCAGCTGACAGAAGCCGTCAGTGAAGAACACAGGCCCCCTGGAGGACCATAACTGGCCACAGTACTTCAGAGACCCATGTGACCCAAACCCTTGCCAAAATGATGGCATCTGTGTGAACCTGAAGTGGGTGGCGAGGTGCAGGTAGGCTCTGTGGCTGGGGAGACAGGCAGGCCAGCAGACCTGGGCCGTGTGCATGCTTATGCCTGGTAAAGGCTGCTGTTTGCAGAGTAGGGCGAAGACTACCTCAGATGGTCAGCTGGATGCAGTTTTCCTTGACTCTACAAAGGTGTGCCCTGGATTCATGGGCTTACGCTGCCAGGACAGAGGCGTCCCAGGTCTCCTTGTCTCTTGACTTTCACCCCTTTTCCTCCTCTGGGGTATTGTCAACAGCATCTTGGATGTTGTTGGAATTTCTAACTCTAACAACATCCAAGATGGCTTCTAGCCTAGGGACTTTCTACTCCATGACAGTGGGTCTCAAGACCAAGCTTAAATCTTTGCTGACTACGCAGATGTTATTATTAGCTCCTAATGATTATTAGTTATACAGTCTGTCATTTACACTGCACTATTGTTAAAGTTATGTTTTCAATAATAGTAGTAAGAACACCTGATATTTCTGACCCCTTGTTATGCATCATGTGGTCTCCTGAGCATCTTACACGCATGATCTAAATTCATTCTCACTGCCACCTGTGACATAAGGGCTCTCCTTATCCCCATTTGGTGTATCAAGAAGTTGAGGCTTAGAAAGGTTAAGTAATTTATCTGAAAGGTACCCAGATGGAAAATGCTGAAGCTGGGACTTGCATCTAGGTCTGTCTGGCAGCACAGTTTGCTATATTTAATGTTTAAATATTAAAAAGCAGTACAGTTTGCTATATTTAAATTTAAATATTTAAAAAGAACTTTAATAGTTCTTTTTACAATGTTTGCTTGCATAAAACCCTAAAAACTGTTTCACAAAAGGAGGTATGTGATGACAGAAGCAACAGTTCCATTTGAACAGTAGCAGATGTAGGAGCTATTCTGCCTACCTCAAAAATTTACATTTCTTCTGAGTTCTTTTTAGTCTCCTTTTTTTTCTTTTTGTAGCTTTTGCTTTGCAATAATTTTAGACTTACAGATACCTTGCAAAAATACTACAGAGGCTTTCTCTATACCATTCACCCTGCTTTCCGTAATGTTGGCATATTACACAAACCATAGTACAATTAGCATAGCCAAGAAATGAACATTGGTAGAATGCTAGTAAATAAATTACAGGCCTTATTCGGCTCTTCCCAGTTTTCCCACTAATGTTCTTTTTCTATTTCAGGATCCAATTCCGGATCTCACGTTACATTTAGTTTTTATGTCTCCTGTCTCCTAATCCCCTCCAATCTGGGACAATTCCTCAGTTCTTTCTTGTCTTTCATTACCTTGACACTTTTGAAGATTACTGGTTAGGGATTTTTTTTTGGTTCATCTTGTTCTCTCATGATTAAATTGAGGTTTCACATTTGTGGCAAGATTAGTAAATATGTGCTGTGCCTTCTTGTTGCATCATGTGAGCAGGTACATGATGCTGATACATGTCATTACTGGTGATGTCAACCTTCATCATCTGGCCAACAGCATGTCCACCAGGCCTCTCCACTGAAGAGTTACCATTTCTCCCTCTGTAATTGATACATATCTTGGGAGAGATAGTTCAAGACCATTGAGACATCCTGCTTTTCCTCAAATCCTCACATGCTAATTTCAGCATCTATTGATACAACCTGCTGCAATACTCACCACTGGGATCTTCTAATGTTGATTTCCTATGTCCTTCACATTCATTAATTAGAATTCTTCTGTAAAGAAGAATGGCCCCTTCACCCCGTTAATTTGTTTATGCGATTGTTTATGTATATCACAAAGGAATCATAAACATTGATTCAGTGGGCTCTGTTGCAATGATTTCATAATTTATTTTGTTGCTTCTATTGTCCCAGCTTTGGCCTTTGGGAGCTCTTCCAGGTTGGCTCCTGTGATCTTTCAACATCAGATTTTATGAACACAATGTTACTTTCTGGCACCATAGCATGCTCTAGGCTCATCTTTTATATTTCCTGCCCCACCCATAGAATCAATCACTCTTCCAAGAAGCCCTCTGGCTCCTTTTACTGGGGAAGGCCCATCTGTTTCTGGGCTCCAAAGCCATGGGTCTTCATATCTTTGCCTGACAGGTCCTTAGATGCCAGATTCCATTGTGTGCCCCCAACACGCTTCATCCTTCCCAGGCTAAGGGAGGCCAGGGTTGCCACTTGTATGTCAGCCTCTACTCAGCCAAACTATTCCTCTCCTAGAAACCTGCAGCTGAGAGTTGGCAGAATAAGTTTTTCTAAGATAACAGTAGGGGATATTACGAAGTTGTGTTTGGAGGGGACTGGGTCAGAAAAAAAATGAAATAAACTTGCTATTACTCACTGATTTCTAAGAAGTCAATTCTCAGGATAGAGATGAGGACTTGGAAGGTAAAATCATTCAGGATTAGTAAAAGAAAATGCTGACTTCTTCTTCTTTTTTTTTTTTTGAGACACAGTTTTGCTCTTGTCACCCAGGCTGGAGTGCAGTGGCACAATTTCAGCTCACTGCAACTTCGACCTCCCGGGTTCAAGCAATTCTCCTGCCTCAGCCTCCCGAGTAGCTGGGATTACAGGTGCCCGCCACCATGTCTGGCTATTTTTGTTGTTGTTGCTGTTGTTATTTTTAATACAGATGAGACCATGTTGGCCAGGCTGGTTTCGCCATTTTGGCCAGGCTGGTCTCAAACTCCTGACCTCAGGTGATCCACCTGGCCTCCCAAAGTGCTGGGATTACAGGCGTGTGCCACCATGCCCAGCCAGAAAATGCTGACTTCTGATTGTTTCACTCTGCCTTGTAGAATTCTGCTGAGTAGACCTTCTAGTGGGAATGTTTGAAACAAAGGCTGGAATTTTTACAAAGGTATGGATGAGACACTACAAGTTATATGCCTTGGTTATGAGATTAATTCGTCTTTATACCAGATAACATTAAGAAACAAAACTAAGGGCTGGCCATTATGTGCTTACTCTGTGTCAAATACCTTGATAGGTACAGTGTCCTCATTATCTCAGGTGAACTTCAGGGCAACCTTGTGAGATAGTGACAGTACACACTAACCTTACAGTAACATTTTATTTAATATTATTTAGACGTTTTCAAGCTACCACTGATGCTCTAAGTCAGACTGTATCTGGGGAATTTCCTTTGTAGCTTGTATTCTTAGCCAGTGTCAGGCAATGTATTCCTTTAAGTGTCTCAGACCATCCTCCTGAATCCTAGGTGGCTGAGAAGCCTGGATCTGGAGGCATACCTCTTGGGATTAGATTTCAAGTGTGAAATGCTTACTAACAATGGGACCTTGAGCAAATTATTTAACCTTCCTGTAAGATGAAGATGATGAGAATGGCCAAGTAATAGCCTCCACCTCAAAAGTTGTTGAAGGGTTAAATTAGTTGGTCCATATACAGCACTTGAAATGGGACCAGGCACCACGTGGACCTGCTCAGTGAGCGTTTGCCATTTTTATTGCTGTGGAGATGAGTGTTGCTAGGAGGCACCTGAGGCCTGGGAGTTCCCACACTCTCTTCATGTCCTTTTCCCTCAGGTGCATCTCTGGACATGCTTTCTTCTAAATGGGAGCGCTGTCAGGCCATGCAGTTGCACGGCAGCGTCCTGGGCATGGTGATTGGAGGCACGGCTGGTGTGATCTTCTTGACCTTCTCCATCATTGCCATCCTTTCCCAAAGGCCAAGGAAGTGACCTGCCTGTTGGCATTGGCCAGACCACAGCAGCACCTCCTCCATGCAGGCCTTACCTTCCAATGGTCAGTGCAGTTTGGGGCAGCTTTTTTGTCAGCCTTGCTTTGGATAGGACCTCCAAGGTCTAAGGCCTCCAGCCCCATGTGTGACCCTTGTCATCTTTCTGCCCCACATAATTCTGTTACTCTGCTATGTGCTCCTAATGTATCTAGTGTGTCCTGTGACAACATTCATCATACTTCATTGTAAACCACTTGTTTGATTGACTGTCTTTCCTATAGACTGTAAGCCCCATGAGGGCAGGCACATGTTGTTATTGACCATGCTGGCCACGTGCCTAGATGCATGGCTGGCACATTGTGGGCACTCAACAATGGTTGAATGAATAAAACAATAAATGAATGAATAAGATATAGAAACTCTCATTTATATTGCAGATCAAATATATATTATGAAATTCTTATGTTGAATATGTTAGAATCAAATACTCATTTTTCATTAGACACAGTACTGTCATTACTCTTTTAAGATCTTGTTAAAGATTTCAAATAAAGGTACTTCCAGGCAGCCCGGCTTCACAGCATTTGCTTTCCTCTGAGATTCTAAGAGAAGCCCTTTAATAAATTTAATAAATATTGAGTTAGCACCTTCTTTGTATCTGGTATTGTATGTACGTGTGGGTGTGCATGTGTGTGTTGAAGGTTGGGGGTGTTCAAAAGCTCTTTCCCAGATCTTTTAAGTTTAACAGTATATTTTATAGCTATTTATGTACAACATTATCATATTAACAAACAGAAGGTATCAGAGAACTTTAAAGAAGTATTTTTAGATATGCTTTCTTTCCATAGTTCCTAAGGAGATAAAAATCTAGCTGGGGCAAGGAAGTTCCAAGATAGATCAAGTGAAAAAAAAAAAAAAAAAAAAAAAAAGCTAAAGTTTCTATACCCAATCAGCAATGAGTCAGCTCAGGAAATTTAACAAACAAAAATATTTTAAGGATTCTGAGTGGTCCTTTAAGTTATAAGGTTTCCTAAGTAGAGACTTTATGACAATTTTGTAGAGTTAAAATGCACTGGAAACAAAATGAGAGATTAACAAGAGTTTCTTTAATGCAAAGGTATGAGAACAATTTGTAGCAAGTGAAAACAGCACCCCTGAGGGCAATACCTCTCAAACTTGAGGTGCATCTGTATCCCAGGGAGGACTGATTAAAACAGATTACAGGGCCCCACACTTTACAAACCTCCACTTTCAGTAGAGCCTCCAGGTCCCTCCCAAGAGCTTCCGTAAGTCACCACAACCCAAGAGGACCAGGGAGATTCCCTCATGCAGATGTTCCCAGACCATGCATGTGATGGCATGTGGAGGGCTTCCCACCTTGACATCTTCCTGTCCTCTGTAGAAACTGGGTCAGTAGATCTAGGGTGAGATCTAAGAATGTACATTCTTAAATGTGCCAGGATCTAACAAGGTATAAGAATGTGCCAGAATCTAATAAGTTCTCAGGCCATGCTGCTACTGCTACTGACTCCCCCACAACCCCCACCTCACAGACACCTTGAGAACCACTGCTCTAGTGGATAGAAAACAAGTCTGGAAGCCAAGCATCCTGGCTGCAGGCTTGGATTGCCCATCCAGCTGGCTGGGTAATTTTAGTAAGAAATCATTTAAGCTCTTGATCTTAGTTTACTAACTTGTCAAATGGAAATAATAGCTGACTATCTCCTTCCACATGACTTTACTACTTACAGAGTAGCAGAGTAATACAATGGGATAATGAATATGAACCTATCTTAGAGTTTAATATGTATGAAAATATTACTATTCAATGTTCAGACTAGATAGGAAGCTATCCTGTCACCAGCCCAGTTGTATTATCTCCAAAGTCCAGATTGGAAATGGATTCCAGCTTTGTTTCTCGCTGTGCTTCACAGTCCTGCAAACCCTCCACTAACCTCATAGTTAGGCCTAAAGAAAGCTATGCCCTTAACACTCTGCTGAGTATCTGACCTCAGAAGTGAACTCTAGGCTTTGTTGCTGCTGCTGCTGTTATTGTCCTTTGGTTTTATTAAAAGGAACATGCTGTGGTCTGTCTCACATGGAAAGGTCCCTAGCCCAAACCAATGACAACATTTCTTAAATATATGAGTTTCTCTCTGGAAGAAGCAGAAGCTCAAATTTCAAAGATAACCTAGTATTTTCATCTAGTACTGCAAATTAAAACTGCTAGGTCAAAATAATGATAAGGAGGTACCAGAATGAGGGTAAAGCATTTTGATATTTATTTCTCTCTAGATTCTCAACCAGTACCATGCCTACTATCTATCTTTATCACTTTTGGTGATTAATGGTCACCTCAGTTGATTAATGATCTGGCTCACCATAAATCTGACATGGTATTCAGCTTTTCTTTGAGCCCAAACCCTCAATCATTCCAGGAGGACTAGCAGATACTTTATTCTTTTGAGGTGTTGGGATGGTGATGGCAAAGTGGGCATGTAGGATGGGGAGTGGGTAGAAATTAAGCATTTCATAATCTCTAGGCAGTATGGAATTTGGGATTTAGATGAGCAACATGAAAAATGTGGGAAATCCTCCCTGAATCTGAGTGTCTGACTTCTTTAATCTTACATAGTGGGAATAAGTCATAGTGGCTTGAAATTTTGAAAATGTCTCATGCTTCCCACACCATATCCTTGATACATCCCCATCTGCATCCTTTCCTTCTGTGAACTGAGCTGAGCCAATCTGGCCATTCACAAATGTCAGGTTCTTTCAGTAATATCTGGAGCCTCTGATAATTAGAAGTGGATGGGAACTCTAACCCCCTCTCTGATTATGTTAAAATGAATCAAGATTTGAACTAAATTCTGCTACACATTCATATTTGTTAACCATTGTTGTGGGAAGTCAGGGACTCTGAACGGAGGGACCAGCTGGAGCTGCGGCAGAAGAACATCAGTTGTGAAGATTTCATGGCCATGTATCAGTTCCCAAAATTGCTACTTTTATAATTTCTTATGCCTGTCTTTACTGCAGTCTCTGAACATAAATTGTGAAGATTTCATGGACATTTATCACTTCCCTAATAATAGTCTTATAATTTCTTATGTCTGTCTTTACTCTCTTAATCCCGTTATCTTCATAAGCTGAGAATGTATGTCACCTCAGGACCACTATTGTACAAATAGATTGTAAAACATGTGTGTTTGAACAATGTGAAATCAGTGCACCTTGAAAAAGAACAGAATAACAGCGATTTTCAGGGAACAAGGGAAGATAACCATAAGGTCTGACTGCCTGCAGGGTCAGGCAGAATAGAACTGTATTTTTCTTCTTGCAGAGAGCATATAAACAGATGTGCAAGTAGGAGAGATATTGCTGAATTCTTTTCCCAGCAAGGAATACCTTGGGGAAGGAATGCATTCCTGGGGGGAGGTCTATAAATGGCCGCTCTGGAAGTGTCTGTCTTATGTGGTTGAGATGAGGACTGAAATATTCCCTGGTCTCCTGCAGTACCCTCAGGCTTACTAGGATTGGAAAATTCCAGCCTGGTAAATTTTGGTCAAACTGGTTCTCTGCTCTCGAACCCTGTTTTCTGTTAAGATGTTTATTAAGACAGTATGTGCACAGTGGGACATAGATCCTCATCAGTAATTCTAATTTTGCCTTTGCCTTGTGATCTTTATTGCCCTTTGAAGCATGTGATCTTTGTGACCTTCTCTTTGTTTGTACACCCCCTCCGCTTTTAAAATCCTAATAAAAACTTACTGGTTTTGTGGCTCAGGGGACATAACGGACCTCCCAATATGTGATGTTACCCCCAGAGGCCCAGCTGTAAAATTCCTCCTTTGTGCTCTTTCTCTTTATTTCTCAGACCAGCCAACACTTAGGGAAAATAGAAAGAACTTGCATTGAAATATTGGAGTCTGGTTCCCCCGATAAACCAACAAACCCACAAATAGCCATCCAACCTGTTTTGTATGTGTAGGGAAGTCTCTGCTCTGTCCTTTTAAGTGCTCCACCACCAAGCCTCTTGGATTAAAGGTTCATTCTACACACATGCATTCAAATAATCTGAAGGCCAGGATCAGTCAACTCTCTACCCTAGGGTTTCTGAACCTCAGCCCTGGTGATATTTTGAGCTGGATATTCTTTTCTGTGAGGGCTGTTCTCTGCATTGTGATATGTTTAGTGGCATCCCTGGCCTCTACTTACTTTATGCTCATAGCACACTTCCCCAGTAGTGACAATCCCAAATCTCTAAGACATTGACAAATGTCCCCCAAGGGGCAAAATCATTACTGATTGGGAATCACTGCTCTAGTTGGATGAGCCAATGAAAACTTGTATTAAGTGAGTGAAAACTAGGACCAAATAGAGTTCTAGTCAAAGGTTCTACCCCAAAAGTTAGTTCACTGGGCCTGCCAAAGTATTGTACCTATAGCTATCTTGATAATTGTATTTAACCAATGCAAAAATTATTTTAAGCATCCTTTATACTAATAACAAACCCTCTGGTATAGCTTGCTATAGAAATACTTAAAGTTTTGCAACAGATATTTCTCCAGTAGAGACTTTTGATTAGGATCTTTCAAATACTAACTAACTGCTATTGGAGTGTGTATTCCTTTTCAGAATACTTTGCATACTATTTAACCTCCCCCAGGGTGTGGATTATAGTCCCCCTGCAGGCTGTATACAGTGTAATACCTATATGGAGACATTTACAAGCAAATTACAGATGATCTCACACCTTCCCTTCTTGAGCTCCTCCTTTCTCATGAATTATATCATCTGTTTTATGGCTTGATGAAATTTTTAGAGATTCTGAAGTCCACCTCTTGTATTTGGG
Source organism: Homo sapiens (assembly GCF_000001405.40). NCBI lineage: Eukaryota > Metazoa > Chordata > Mammalia > Primates > Hominidae > Homo > Homo sapiens. Next base: position 40,182,937 of record NC_000009.12, on the reverse strand, counting down.
TAAACTGAGGCAATTCTGGAGAGGCTAAGTGCCTTAGGCAGGTCACAGAGCCACTTAATAGCAGAATCTATTATTCTTGTTTGACTACAGAAAACCTTAATAAGATTAGAGGTTTGGAAGGTGCTATAAAATATAGGCAAATCTATATTGAACACTATGTAAAGGTCTTTTTTACTTGGTTTCCCTTATTAGGGATATCAGGTTTATGGATGATTTGTCACCTACTCAAATTTCTATATGTTTATAAATATGGCTAAAACATCTTTCTTATGCCAATTTTAATATAAGTATGTTTTTCAAAAGTCTCTAAGCAAAGAAAAGTTTGAAAAGATTTATAGTTATCCTGTAGCTGTGAGTGTCATTTAGCAGACTCTTGAAAACCCTAATGAATGGGGGATGGGAGATAATGGAGTCAGGTGCCAGTGACCTCTAATGAGTACTGATGTGAAAAAATATGATAGGAAAGATTTGATATGGGTAAGGCAGCCTAACAGGATGTGTGTGTGTGTGTGTGTGTGTGTGTGTGTGTGTGTGTAAGAGTTGCAGCTAACAGTGATATCAGAGTAAAGACAAGACCCATCTCTCTTTGCCTTCCACAATTTTACCAAGGACTAGTCCTGGAATCCCAGAATGGATTGAGACATGGGCCTCATCTGGGTCACAGCATCCCTCAGGGCCTAGACAAATTTAGGACAAATTGACCCATGTGTGGCTCACCAGCTCAATGAAAATCATTAAAAACATTTAAAGATCCTATCTGGTCAAGAGAATAAAAGGAGAATAGAAAAATGGGGTCATAAGAAAGGTATGAGAAGAGAGCAGGAGGCAGAGGAGATGTTCAGATATCAGCCCCCAACAAAAATGGTCACCAACATCCATTCTTCTTTTCTCAGTAATAGAATCCCCAAACTCCAACTGGTCAAATGGCTACTCAGAGTCTAGTTTACCTTCTCCTGCTTCCTTTGCAGGTAGATGGGTGATATGGTTTGTCTCTGTGTCCCCACCCAAATCTCATCTTGAATTGTAATCCCCACGTGTGGAGGGAGGGAACTGGTGAGAGGTTATTGGATCATGGGGGTGGCTTCCCCCATGCTGTTCTTGTGATAGTGAGTGAGTTCTCATGAAAGCTGATGGTTTTAAAGTGTGGCACACCTCCTTGTTCTCTCACTTTTCAAGTCTTGCTACCATGTAAGACGTGCCTTGCTTCCGCTTTGCTTTCCACTATGATTGTAAGTTTCCTGAGGCTTCCCCAGCCTTGCAGAATTGCTAGTCAATTAAACCTCTTTCCTTTATAAATTACCCAGTCTCAGGTAGTTCTTTATAGCAGCGTGAAAGCAGACTGATACAGTGAGGTAGTGTGATCAAATTCAGGCCAGTGGAATGGAAGAAGGAATGTTGCATGTGAGCTTCTGGGAACCTTTCCTAAAGGAGTCTTGGTGCACACCTGTAGTCCCTTCTTCTATCCTAATGACTGATAAGGGGATGTAATGGCCAGAGTGAGAGCTGCCAAATGGGGCCACGTGGTGACCTTGGCAAAAGCAGATTAAAAAAATAGAAAGTATCTGGATTTCTGAGGACTGCACCGAGCCAGGCTGCCACACCAGTCTTGGGCTGCTTATCTGTGTTAGAGAAATAAACTTCTACTTTAAGTCGCTATTATTTTGAATGTCTGGCATTCACAGAAAACATGATCCTAATGGATATAATTATTTCTATGGGGCCAGCACATGGCTCAGACTAAGCCAATCATGATACCCTGTACTGCCACATATACCTGAACATTTGGAGAAGAAAAGGGTTAGTCTTCTTTTTAAATCTCAATCTATCGGTCTGTGGACCTCATAAATTCCTCTCCTTGAAGATCTACCTTGGAATGAAATAAATACACAAAGAGAGGAAACAACACAAAAGGAAGAGCCAGAACTCTGAGAACACTGTTTGGGCACCTGAATCTAGCTGTACCTGAAGGTGTACCAATCTACTATCTTTCCCAGTTACGTGGTAAGTGCCCACTTTTGCTTAAACTAATTTGATTGTGGTTCTGTTACCTGTAACTGAGAAAGCCTTAATTAACACCACTGTTATAGTGCATAATTGGCTCATTTGTAAAGAAAAGAAATAATGAAATTAGTTTGAAGATTAAATAAAATTATGTAATATGTAAGATTACCAAAACTGATTTGAAATGCAGACATGGGGTAGTTAACCAGGCTCACACACTTGTTATGTGAATTACTCACCCATTCTGGCTTCATAATGAGCACGATTTAAACTCAAACCTTGATAAAGTTATGATTTAGGATGTCACGTACCTTTGACGTTACTCTCAAAAGCTCTTAACCATGAATTAAAAGTGACAATGTGAAAGGCATATGTAGTTTGATTCTGAATAGAACTGGCATCTAAATCTGAGTTCTGTCAAGATCTATCAAGAATTCTGAGTGTTGGATATTATTTAGACACATAGGAAGAAAGTATGACTTCTCAGAAATGAAGTGTAATTCTGAGGCTGTGTTTAAATATATCAGGAGGAGAATTGAAACATTTGCTCTAATAAATTTGGCTAAGTCATGATGCATGATGTATATATGTGTGTATGATATATATCTACTATAGTTTTTATGCACACACAGTAAGATGCAAAATAATAAAGGCTAACTTTATTCAGCAATAATTGCATGCCAGATATGATTTTGTAGGCTTTATAAGAATTTTACAACAACCCATGGAGCATGTACCATTATTATTTCCTTTCACATAGTGTAAATTGAGGCAGAAAGAGTTATTTTACCAACAGTCAAACTAAGAAGTGGTGGACCTACAACTGAAAAGCACACAGTTTGGCTCTAGAACCAATGCTGTTAACCACCATACCACATTTGCCAAACTGGCTGTCAATCAATGCTGAAGAACAGCCCAATACCCCTGTCCATGCAAAATGAAGCAGAGAATGCAAAGCATTCAAGTAGCAAATCAGCTGCTGTTTCAGTCTGCATATCAGAAGGAAAATCATGACTTAGCTAAACGTATTAGGACAAATGTCCCAATTCTCCACTTGATATGTTTAAACATAGCCTCAGAATCACGCTTCATTTCTGGGAAGCCATATTGCCTTCCTACATGTCTAAATGCCATCCAACACGCCGAGAATTCTTGATAGATCTGAGACAAAAATAAAAACAACACTGGTGATTGAGACCTTACAAGAAGCTCACTTGACTGAAGACTCAAGCTGGGGGGTCCACTAGATAACTAAGTTGAGATCTACTTTCAATAAAGCAGCACAGCAGGAATTCTTTGATGTTTCACCAGAGACTTAAAAAGGAAGTAGGCGCACTCTGAAGTTTGCCCAGAACATTGGTCATTATGTCCTGGGCTGCCCCAAGGTAGAATTATAAAGTGAGATGAAGCTTGGAGAAGGCTTAACTCCTCCAACCTCTCTGTCACTGTTGTTCTCCCTCTCATTTTTTGCATTTGAAACTCTTCCTGCTACGGAAGCCTACTTTTAAGCAAGTAACTGGCATCAGGTTGCATAGAGAAGCAATATAAGGTGGTGGATACATGCCCATGTTCTAGGTCAGACACTGCATTTAGATCCTGATTCTACTGGTCCTCAGCTGTGTGACTGTGGGCAAGTTATTTACCTCTCTGTGCTTAGTTTTTTCCTCTAAAAATGCAAAGAAAAAGAATATTTAGTTACTTTTGGTTTGCTATAGAGTTTAAATGAGATTATACGCATAAAAATCTTAGAACAGCAGCAGGTACACAGAAAGGGCTCAAAAAATGTTGGTTAATATAGTTATATAGTTACCAGCCATTTTCATTCGAGGGTAAATTTAAGTTACTGTGTTTCTCACCCAGAGGTGTATTTGCATACCTTTTCTCTCCTTGAGATTAACCTGAGATTAACCTTCTTAACTTTATCTGTCTTTGAGATTTCTGTTTTTGTAAAAGGAATGTCCAACATGAAGAAGAAGGTGTGAGAGCTATTCCGAGGGTATAGGAGCAACAGGCCAAGGTGCGTGACATCCCCCCAAACTGGGAAGCTGTCTGCCTCATTACTTAAGGCCAGTTCAGCTTGTCCCTCTACACCAAGGACCAACCCTGCCGGCAGTTGGCCCTGTTGACTTCTCCTGGGTCTTCTCGGATCACACGTTAGCAATGTGTGCTCAGAGGATAGGAACTTGCCATCCAGCCTCAGCTGCTGGCTGGACTGTCAGATTGCCCTGGGATAGCTGCAGATTCATCTGCAGATTCATGATGGATTGAAAATGAAACTCCAGGCCAGCAGTGGCTTTCAATGGATGAATTAGGAAAGGGAATAGGACCACCTATGTTAATCCTTTTGCAGCTGCCTTGATGGAAAAAGTATTGGGTTAACATGAAATATGGAAGGCACCCATTTTTCTTCCTCAAACGACCTTCCAGCAGCCTATCTGGAATGGGTGAACCAGATCTTTTCTGGGGCTTTCAGCTTTGCTGTTAGTGCCATAAATGAGATTCAGTCAGTAAGAGGGGGACAGAGAAAGGAAGGAGCTATCTCAGCGAGTATGCCTCAGAAATGTATGCCTGCCTGCAGATGTGCTATGCACACTTGTAAACCAGTCTTTGAGACAGGTCTCAATCAACTTAGAAGTTTATTTTACCAAGGTTAAGAACATGCCTGGAATAATGGAACACACAATCACAGAGACAGCCTGTGGTCTGTGTCTTTCTGCAAAGATATTTTGAAGGTTTCAGTATTTAAAGGGGAAAAGTGGAGGCGAAAGAGGGAGGGTATGGTCACATGGCATAATCCATGCATTGCAGGAGAAAAGGAGCAGGTAGGAAAATAGTCAGTGATGTATTCATCTCAGTAAATCGGTACTTTACATAAAAGGTGAACCTAGTGTAGCTCTCTGTGGAGATATCTGGCCTTTCATCTGTTAGCTATTTGCTTAGCAATAGAAGGAAAAGGCTGTTTCTTGCATGGCTCAGCTTCCATCTTAATTTTTTCCTTTTTGCATAGTGATTGGGGGCCCGAAATTTCCTTTGCCTTTCACACACTGAAACGACGTGACTGGGATTTCCCTCCCTCCACAGTCCTACGTGGCTTTCTGACTACCCTTTCCCCTGTAAGGATCATAATATGAAAGTTAGGAGGCGGGAGTGAAAGAGATTTTTTTCATTTCTGGTTTCTGTTATCCACTATGCCTTGACCTTCGCTCTGCCCATATGATCAAATGACTTCCTGAACGTAGCCCACTGGGCGCGTCATCCGCGGGACTGACTCTGCCTCCCACGGGCTTCCTGAGGCCGGACCGCCGCGGGGACGCCTCTTCTCACGCCCACCAGGGGCGCGCGAGCCTCGGGAGACGCCAGCAGGGGTTGCGGAGCTGCGGTGCTGGAAGCCAGCTGTCACTCCAACCCAGCTGGAGATTCCTGTCGGGAATGCTTGGGATAGGACAGCTGTGAGGGAGCCCCTGGGGCATAGGAAAACCCTCACAGTTCCAGAAAAAACAGAAAACGCATGCACAGTTTTTCTCAGTTAATCAAAGTCAAATTCCTTTTCCCACAACTGCTGGGGTGCCGGCTGGCTGGCAGGATGGAAGAACCAGGATGGCACCAATCAAAATCCGAAAAAGGCAGGGTCCAAAGTCATTCCTGGGTTTTGTTGTTTAATGTCATCGGAAGTGGGCCGTGACAGCAATCTGCCCACCACTTGCCCAATCAGGTCCTCTTGCCTTTCATACTGAGAATAAAGCCATTTTTCCCCCCGGGCTCCTGGGTTTGTTCTGTTTAGGCTTCAATAGTCACCGGCATCCTTCACTTGGCTCTGCATGACAGAATAAAAACCCTGGGGTGGGAACAGGCTCATGTATCTCCTAACCATGCCACCATGTGTGCAGAGGGACCTGTCATGGACACTGGTGGCCTTTCAACTTCATTTCAAAGTTTACAGGTAAAAGGGGGAAAATGGGTGTGTATAAAATCATTTAAGAATAATCCCAGCACTTTGAGAGGCCGAAGCGGGTGGATCATGAGGTCAGGAGATCGAGACCATCCTGGCTAACACGGTGAAACCCCGTCTCTACTAAAAATACAAAAAAAAAAAAAAAAAAAAAAAAAAAATTAGCCGGGCGTGGTAGCGGGCGCCTGTAGTCCCAGCTACTCCGGAGGCTGAGGCAGGAGAATGGCGTGAACCCTGGAGGTGGAGCTTGCAGTGAGCCGAGATAGCGCCACTGCACTCCAGCCTGGGGGACAGAGTGAGACTCCGTCTCAAAAAAAAAAAAAAGAATAGACAGGACGGTTGTGTCTGAATCATAGGACACCACGACCAAGGCCCCCACGCCCACCCCAGACACATACAGATGATATTTGGAGATCAGAACTTGTGTCTGGCATAGAGCGGACTTCGGGAGTTGGCCCATCTCCCCTCTTTTCTTCTTCTGTCCACTAACAGTGGGAAACTTGGTTTCCGTCTAGAATGTGCTAGAGGATAAATAGAGCCCTCACATCCTTTATATTAATCTATAGGACATGAGGGCTCTATTTTCAGCTGTCAATGAAAATTTCAAGCCATCCTCACACAAATGTTGGAACAGGCATCTGTTTGTTCGCCAGACAACTGGTTCTGAAAACTTTACTTCAAGGACCCTTGTTTAAACCTTCTATAACGTGCTGGATCTTTGCACACGGCTTGGGAGTGCGGATGGTGTGAGGGAAGCCATCAGCCCTGCCAGCCAGTTGAGCTCAGGGGCGAGCTGCCGGCCTCCCCCATACCTGGAAGATGGAAAGGATCGTTTGCTGTTTGGAGAATAGAGCTGCATTCTGGGTGACATGCGGAAGCCTGAGAGGCAGCAGCACCACATTGCAAGAAGGCAAACAATTACTACAGAGACAGTGTTGCGGGAAGTCAGGGACCCCAAATGGAGGGACGGGCTGAAGCCATGGCAGAAGAACGTGGATTGTGAAGATTTTATGGACATTTATTAGTTCCCCAAATTAATACTTTTGTAATTTCTTATGCCTGTCTTTACTGCAATCTCTAAACATAAATTGTAAAGATTTCATGGACACTTATCACTTCCCCAATCAATACCCTTGTAATTTCCTATTCCTGTCTTTACTTTAATCTCTTAATCCTGTCAGTTGAGGAGGATGTATATCGTTCTAGGACCTTGTAATAATTGCGTTAACTACACAAATTGTACAGCATGTGTGTCTGAGCAATACGAAACGTGGGCACCCTGAAAAAAGAAGAGGATAACAGCAATTGTTCAGGGAATAAGAGAGAGAACCTTAAACTCTGACCGCCGGTGAGCCGGGCAGAACAGAGCCATATTTCTCTTCTTTCAAAAGCAAATGGGAGAAATATTGCTGAATTCTTTTTCTCAGCACGGAACGTCCCTGAGAAAGAGAATGCGCACCTAGGGGTAGGTCTCTGAACTGGCCCCCCCGGGGCGTACCTGTCTCTTATGGTCGAGATTGCAGAGGTGAAATAAACTCCAGTCTCCCATAGCGCTCCCAGGCTTATTAGGAAGAGGAAATTCCCACCTAATAAATTTTGGTCAGACCGGTTGATCTCAAAACGCTGCCTCCTGATAAGATGTTATCAATGACAATGGTGCCCGAAACTTCATTAGCAATTTTAATTTCGCCTCCATCCTGTGGTCCTGTGATCTCGCCCTGCCTCCACTTGCCTTGTGATATTCTATTACCCTGTTAAGTACTTGATGTCTGTCACCCACACCTATTCGCACACTCCCTCCCCTTTTGAAAATCCCTAATAAAAACTTGCTGGTTTTTGTGGCTTGTGGGGCATCACAGATCCTACCAATGTGTGATATCTCCCCCTGGACGCCCAGCTTTAAAATTTCTCTCTTTTGTACTCTGTCCTTTTATTTCTCAAGCCAGTCGACACTTAGGAAAATAGAAAAGAACCTATGTGATTATCGGGGCAGGTCCCCCGATAAGACAGCTCACGAGATCTCATTAGATATTTCATTGTTATAGTATGGAAAGGAAGCATATTTGTGTGCTGGTATACATGATGTGATTTTAAATCCCAAGTGATAATTTTAGAAACCAACAGAACCTAATATTAAAGCTAAACTACTGTCCTCTCGAAATGATGAGATGCTATTCCGGTTGCCCTTTTAAAAACGCTATCAAGAGGTAAGTTCCCTGTAAGTTCCACCTTCATTTTGGACACTTAAAAAATCAGTCTTTTACTGGCCTGGGTCACTGGGTTTTCTCTTTTGGATGAGGAGGGCTTATTTGACTTCACCATCACATGGCACAAAATAAACGCATTCCACCTACCTGGCATTTCTAGGACCACCTATTTCTTTTTTTCTTCAAATGATTGTGACTTCCTGCTCCATTCACCTCAATAACTCACCCACACGTCCTTTCTATACTTACTAATTACTGTAATCTTTCTCAGCTCCATGTAACTTTTTTTTTCTCTGAAGCATTCCAACATGGATCTCTTTGAAATTCTCTATACAAACCACAAAAGGCCGTGACTTCCCACAGTCTTTCTTAATTTCTGGCCTTAGCAAAAACCTGAAAACCCCACAGACATTTATTTAACCATTTCCCCATGCAAACAATAAGAAGTGGGGGAGGAGGATAGCAGACATCTGGCTTACTCAAGAGATGATGTGTTAGTCTGGACTTAGAATATTCCCAGAGAATATTCCTATAATCTGTATTAGCTTCTCATTTGTGAATATTCTAACCTCACAGACTCTGACGCATTAGGACAAAGCCCTTTGCAAGAAACTGACTTAATGGAAAGCTCTTAATGCAAGAAAGTTTAGGCTCAGGGAATGGACTTTATACACTGAGAGATGTCAGGAACACAGGGAAGCACTGGGCACCTTACGAACAAAGTAGATCGCACAACTCCATGTGCCTTCATTCTCAGGAATCTGCTACTAATAGCCTTGTAATCATTACTGATTGAGAGATGGCAACCTCAGGGCCAAATGAGGCTCCTGCATTCATAAAATTCTCAGCTTCATAACTGCTGTTCTACAATTTTGAATTCTACTGTTCATTTTAGGATTTTCCCGGGAAAGGGTAGTGGCTGGGCTAACTTGTATTGCAGTGGGCAGAAAACCAGCAAGTGTTTCTCCAATTATTTGCTTTCATAGCTTTTCTGGAATTTGGACCCAGTGCTGTGGCTTGAAAGGGTGAAACACATGCATGTATGTGGCTTGAAAGGGTGAAACACATGCATGTATGTGCACATGTGCACATGTGTGCATGTGTGTATTTGTGTGTGTTGGGGATAAGGGAACATGCCCCAGTTAACGAATGGAGCAGTGGGCCAGATCCACATCCTGTGTAACTCCCACAGGCTCCTGCTACGATGAAAGTTCCCTTCACAGGGTTGAACACAGTGATTCCCCAAGGGATCCTGGCTGAAGTGGGTGGAAGTTCAGCGTTTCTTGTCCCACTGAATTTTTGAACATGACAACCACATCCTGCTCCTGATACTGTGTGCTTTCCTTGATTGATCATGTCAAGATAGCCCTGCTAACATTGTGTTCCAAGCCTGGCTCGATTCTTCTTGATATAACTCCAGGAACCAAATCAGCCAAAGGCCTTCTTTCTCTAATTCTAATTCTAATTCAAGGGATTTCCCCCAACCCAACCTCTGTCTCCATCTTCTTAGTATCAAGCTCTGCCCAAAGTTGATCATTCCTGAAGAACAAGGCATGCATTTATAGCATAACAATGATTTCCTTTAGGGACTTTCAGTAATGCACCATTCATTTGGGACAGTGATGTGACAATTCTCAGGCAAATGTGGAAGTAGATGTCTATGTCATTTGTGAATATGTAGAAATAAAGAGTTCATTTACATCAACTGTCCCACCTCTGTCCCATACCTCTCCTTCCCCATGAAGAAAAGAGAGGCAGAAGTAGAATTTAAGTAGAATTTAAAATTAAAAATAAAAAGAAGATATTTTAAAGGGTTAAAATATTAAAAGAAAACTCCTTTGAACCTCAATAAAGAAATGGCTGTTGAATCTCAGCCTCTTTTGCCCCATCTTCCTAATGGCTGGGCCCATTTCTGTTGCCACACAGCCCACATATCCTAAGTAGCCCCACATCTCTATTTTTGTCTTATTCTCCTTTTGGGATCAGACTTTTATTTGCAATGTAGGGTTGCTGTATCCATAGCACATGGTTAACTCTAATATGGATGCAATTTTCATAAGTATTTATATTTTTTAATGAAATACATACACACGAAAAAAAGCACACATGCAGATAATTCACAAACAATCAAATCCTTGGGAAAGTCTCTGCCATTTGTTCAACAAGGTCAAGTGTCATTAGGAGCACAGAACAGCCAAATGTAAAATTTCTTTTCAGGAGCTTTCCAAGTGGTTGGAATAAACACAAGTTAGACCATGCAAAATTCTTAATGTATATTGGTCTGGGAAAGTAAAGATGGAAACAGAGAATACCTAGGGAGCTATGCAACACACCAAGGGCCATTATCCACAGTAACAATAACAGTGACAACAGCAATAATAATGTACAATGCTATAAGATTATTAAAATCTATTCTATAATGCACAGAGAAGTACCTGCTTGAAGCCATTAAATATATGACAGGGTCTGTCTTCAGTGCGATATATCAAATTTGGCAATTGAAAGGTATATAAAATATATATTTTTTGCTTTCAAAATATGGAACGAACTAAAATACAAGGCTTTTCTGATAAACTATAAAAATTTAATCAGCACTTGGATCTAATGACGTATCTTTATAATACTTCCTCTGCAGATACATTCACTTAGTTCAAACCTTAACATACAAAGTTATCCTCAGGAGAATCATGTTTCCTTCCATTCATTTCTTATAAATATTATTATCCACTTGAAGTCGTTCTGATGAAGGAATTTCCTCCCTATTTTTTCAGCCTTTTTTTTCTCCTCTTAGCTAAGAAGACATCAGGAAGACACTGCCCAAAGTATTCATTCCCCATGACTTACTTTCAGTTTCCATTTTTGAGCCATTAAAAAAAAATTCTCAATGTTGCACTATCTGAGTGATTATATTAGATCATTAACATGGAAATCTTAAAACGTGGCCCTTAATGTTGTTTGTCTATATTTGTTCCTATTTTCATCTTTCTCTTTTTCTTCTTTTTCCCTTTCTTCCTGTTTCCCTCCCTTCTTTCCTTCCTTTCTTCCTTCCTTCCTTCTTAGAATTCACTGAAGTATTTCCTAGGTTGTCTTTTACTTACTACTTTAATCAAAGCTTATCTTTGTGCCCAATTTGTAGGAAGTGAAAATGTCTCTTTGAAATTCTATATTACATAGACAGAGAAGTTGGGCCTTCGAGGGCTTGAGTTTCACTTAAATACTATACACATGTGGTATCACACAAGGGGGAGGGGGAGGGAACAAACATAAACATAACAATTATTTTCAGTCTGTCTTTACAAAAGAAAGCCTCTTCTCTATGAAAGTCTTTTTGACATCTGCTCCTGGAAACCTGCCCCAAGAACACATTCTCCATTGCTTTGCAAGGATCTCTTTTTAAAAGCACATCCATCCACTGTCCCCAGGAGGTCACGTATGTTGGATTATCCTGTTCTTAGTTGAGCAACGAATAAGCACTGGATGAGTTTTCCAGGGATAAGCTGGTTGCTTCTGGGGTGGAAACATTATATGTTCCTGAAAAACAGAGCAGCAACTCAGCCTTGAAGACAAGCCATCATGAACTTTGGGGTGTGAACATCTCCTAAGGGACCCAGGGGAGCAGTGGTCTAGGCACTAGGTAAACTCGGCCATGCCTGGAAACCAACCCATACCTGCCCTCTTCCCAAGAGCTAGAAATGCCAGAGAACTAACAGAGTTGTCGTTCTCATGCATGTGTGGCAGCCAACAAGCAGTCACTACTTCACATCATACCAGCAGCCAGGTTTCTACAAAGGACGGGAAGATGTCAAGGTGGGAAGCCCTCCATATGCCATCACGTGCATGGTCTGGGAACATCTGCATGAGGGAATCTCCCTGGTCCTCTTGGGTTGTGGTGACTTACAGAAGCTCTTGGGAGGCACCTGGAGGCTCTACTGAAAGTGGAGGTTTGTAAAGAGAGTAAAGGGAAAGAAAAGAGAAAATTATAGGGAGAGAAAAGGCAGGACCAGAAAAGAAGCAGGAGTCAGGAACGTCAACAGAACTGCTGAGAATCAGTGCAGCAAGGAAGGCAGCCTCTGAGCAACTGCACAGGCTTGTGTCTGCGGGGAGGTGGGGACTGTGCACAGGGAGTGCGTGGAGAGTGTGTGTCGGGCAAGAAAAGGGTTGAAGTGCCCACCCTACCATCAAATTGCTGAACCGCCACCACCGCTAACAAAGTTTCCGTCATGGCCTGGGGGGATCTTAGGGGCTGCTGACAACATAAACCAAAGTTACGGTACTTATGGGGCCCCCAAACATGCCCAATTGGGACTTTCATAATCAGAAGTGAAGGTCCCCCAGTTTCATGGGTAATTCATCAAATTGAAGCAGAAAAGAACCCAAGTCCTCTGGAGTTTTAACAGTTATAGGCATTCACAAAATTTGCTTGTATATGAAAAGCCTTAATGTGGAACATTGATACATTTCTCAACTCTGCATTTGTGAGATCTGTTGAGTTTCAAAAAGCTAGAAGAAATCCTGGGGCTTATTTTCCTGTGGGGGAGGGATGGTGGCATGGGACAGGGGTTTCAATTTGCTAGAATAGCTGAGATCTGTTGCCCAAAGTTATTAATTCCATTCATTTCAAATCTCCAAGGTAGAAATTTAACTGTGAATATTTCTAATAGAATAGCTAACTAGGGTGATCCCTTATGTAATGCATGCACACTTCTATGTGCTTCCATGTGTAACACAAGCACACTTTATAAAAAGAACACAAAAGGAAAACAAACCTAAATAGTGAGATCCTGTAGTAAGATTTTCTAACTGTATTCTTTGCTGCCCCGTAACCCTGAAACATCACCTATCTACTCTTATTTGACATAATTTGAGAAGAACTCTGTGTTTGACAAGGCCAGCAATTTACAGTTCTCATTTTGATGGATGATAGTTTGACAGACAGCTCTCCAAATCATTGTCTAGATTCTCCAAATCTTATTCTTTATGAGTTATTATAAGTTCCCAACAAAGGCAGCTGCCCTCTGTACCCACTTTTTGGTGATTTGTGAAAATGTAAGTTCCTCTATTTAACCTCTACCCCAAAAGAGGACATTTTAGGTAAATGCCATGATTGGGGTGAAAGAGTAGGGGTGTTGAGGCTCCCCATTTGACCAAATGTGTTCTGGGCAAGCAGGGAGAACATAGAGGCCACTACTCACCTGTTTTACCAAACAAACTGTTAAATCTCCTTGATATTGGAGAACTCATAGAAAACACAGGTGTGGATGAACCCAGGGATGTTGACTAGAAGAGAGAAAAAAAGGGAAAATCACAAAGCAAATTTGTGGGACCAAAGCTGTTTACATCCCTAGAAGGATTGATTTTCCACCCTCTAGTGGTCACTGCCGGCATCTCTAGTCCCACTCCCAGAGGTCACATTAAAATACTGGAATCTTGTCATCTGTATTAGAAAAATAACTGTCAAATACAAGTTTTATTGTTTGTTAGGCTTCTAGTATTTTCTGACATGTGAAAGGCAGTCAGATATATCCAAGGGCAATAGTTATGTTCCACAATGAACTATAGAAAATTTTATCCATTATTATTCTTCAACTTGTTTTCTCTAATGCCTTGAATCCCCCCAGAAGACTGCTTCTCATTGAACATTTGATTTCAACCTTCAGTTTATATCATATATTATTTTAAACCCTATTTAAATATGTGGAGTAGCATCTCAATGACAGCTCTATGGCTCTGTTTAATAGGCAGAATGACTTGAGAAGCAAAAACAATGGAATGATCTATGCCAAATATAGCTGTTGAGGGAGATGGGTTTGAGGATGCAATATATTTAGCCTAATTAATCAAAATCCTGAAGAAAAAATTTAGTACTCTGTACTTCAGAATGCTAGTGGAATACATGAGGTTATAAAACGAAAAGTATCTGCAGAGAAAAGGTTTACCTTTGAGTGTGGTGAAGACCATCTCGACAATGAAAACTTATTCAGCAAAGCTTCCTGTACCTGCATTGTTAAAAAGAAGCTATCGTAACTTCAACATGCCAGAAGCACTTCACGCTTTTCTAGAAACATGAAACTGTCATTGCTCTTACCTTCAGATCCTAGAGGCATCCAAAGAGTAAACTGAATAATCCCTGAGAAAAAAAGATTAAAAAGAAGTGCATTTTAATTATAGTCTATTGTCCAGCAAAAGAGAAAGTACTATTAACCTGGTGTTAAATTTGTACTACTTCTTTTTCTATCTGAGTTTATGGAATGAGTCCAGTACATGATACTGTTCAATGAGAGGCAGTTGGTCCACACCAAGGGACTCTAAATGTTATGATGTTAGGAGGATATTTTCTATTTTCCCATTTTCCTTTGGTTGAGAACTGGAGGTCCTGTTGGTTATGCTATTTATACACCTCTTGTGTCTACAATATTCCTCACATAGTTGTGATGAGAATCTTGGCTATGGGGTGGGATAACTAGTTCCTTCCAAATGAGGCATATCATGAAGGTCATTACATATGAACTTTATAACTTGGAGACACAGGCCCAGTAACAGAAATTAAGGTTCATATGTTCTTGGCACAAGCATCCTGAAAGCAGTATCTCAAGTGCACCTCCAGCCTCTGCCTCTTCACAAGCTCACAGTGGCCTCAATCCTTGGGCAGGTTTTTTCCTGTATTATCACCTCTCCATTGGGTGAAACAGAATTAATCACTTCCTTCTTTGTGGTTTAAAGGCTTGCTATCTATACCTCTGTTATATTTCTTCTAACAAACTGGTCTGCATTGTAATTAGTTACGTGCTGCAGGAGAGCAAAGAAGATGTTTTTTGCATTGTAGTACAATCAAGCAGATTGTCTGGCATTCACAGGACATTCGTTCTTTGATTTTTGATGTTTCCAGAGAAGCTGCTATGTGGTACATAGGATTTATTTCATTCAAATGATTATTGAGAACCTACTCTGTACCAAGGTCTCTATCAGGCATAGAGGTATAGTGATGAACAAGAAAAGGGCAATCCCTGTCCTCACAAAGACAGGATTTTCATTTAGGAGATAATAGACTGCATCAAGATAATCTTAGACAAATGGGGATTTTCCTTTTACTGGTGTAATCAGGGTATTTAGCAGAGACTGGGAAATGGCACTAAATTATAATGTAGGTGATAAAAAGCATGAGGTTCCATAGGATCAGAAGAATGTGTTCTTTCCATCTCATTGAATTCTCATTATTACTGCTCTTTAGAGCTGAGGCTTCCTCTGGGCTGAAATCCTTCCCCATTCCTACTCTTGTTTGTGTTTCTATCATTAATTTGTCCTACAGGAATAAAATCTTCCTGAAAGTCCTGCACTGCAAAACTCACCTGGAAGACATTGAGGATGGCAAATACGATATGGAACACAAGGAACACTACTGTCTGCTGTCACTGGTTAATCACTAGATGCCAAGAGCTTACTGAACAAAAGCTTGGCAATCAGAATAAATGGGGAAGGAAGGACCTTATGAATTGTCTACTTAGCCTAAGAAACGGCAGGTTTAGTTCTTCTCTTCCAAAAGATACAGGTATATCACTGGAATTGTACTTAAAATTTATAGATGACTAGCAAATATATACTTTATATGTACTTAACATTTAGATCAATCTTATTTAATACTTGGAGGTTAGAAGAAGCATCTTTAGGGGAACTATATAATATTCTGTTAGCATTTTCTCTGCATTTTAAAAAATCATTTCATCTCAAACACTTATCAGCGTCATGAAATCAGTAATGACTCTTAAACAATTCAACATAAAGGTTTGAACTCTGCACTAGATGTCTCTTTAATTTTTTAATATTTAAAATTTAGTTCAGGCTTTTCTCACCAGGTGCCTTTAGTGGTGACTAAGATAACTGACTTCTCAATTGTTTCTCTGAAAAAAGTGTTGCTGTGGGAATAATTTTAATGTTCAATGTGATATCATGGTGGAGTTTTGTCTTTTAAAACATTAGAAGCATTTTAAATACTAAGAATCAAATATTTATAGATCAAACACTTGTGTTTTAAGTATTATACGGGACCTGTTTACATATAGTAAATGTGTATGTATACATGAGTTGTTGCTGAAGCCGACAAGCATATTACATACATGCATTTTCCCTGTGCCATCATAGTTGCAGTTAGAGTTCTAGTACCTGTAGGCTCGCCTGGGAGGCAGATTAGACCCAAAGGTAGACATTTTTCCCTTTCCCTGAAGCATGATGGTGGTAGTTGATTCTTTGATTTCCTTAGTACCAAACTTTAAGGCTTTTGTAAAAACAAAACGAAAAAACTAGGAGCTTGGAACATTTAAAAATTAACGCTGCTACCATCAATTCATCAAATATTTACTTAGAACCTTCATACATTAAGATTCTGGTAACCAATAAATTAGAATTTATTTCTTCTGCATAAAGTAAATTTTCATACACTCGACCTACTGAGACAGCAAAGGTGTCCTAATTTGAGGCATTTGTGTAATGCCTACATAACTAAATGGTAACTAAAATGGGACAGCATGGGGCAAGACCTTGTAGTTCTTCACAGACTATTTGTCATCAGTTTCTCCAATTAATTTGCTGCATGAGCCAAATAACCATAATTCACCTTTTGTACCCACTGGAGCCATAATTAGAGAATCAGAGGGTGTAGACAGAGGTTAATGCCAATGACAAACACAGGGCAGGATTTATTATTATTATAAAGATCATTACATACAAAAGATTTTTTTTTTAAATTCCTAATTCTAACAAAGGGGATCAACCAGAAATGAAACTAAGCTACTTTCTGAAGTGACACTGTGTCAGAATAATCCAGATTTGAATATAACATTTTGCCACCCACTGACATTTAGATGAAGGACTGCCTCTCCGGAAGAGTTCAGAACATATTCAGGGGTGAACCTAACACCAGGGAAGAAAGACTACTGATGAAAATATTTTTCCACTTTGAACAAATCTGTAAACTACAGATTTTCTTTATAGAAAAATGCTTGGAATAGTCACTGTAATATTTAGCTGTGGATAAAAATTTGTGAAAATAAATACTTTTGAATTAGAAAAAGCAAGGAAGAAGAATGGGGTTGATAGGATGTATATTTAAAATAGATTAACCAGGAACAACTGCACTGTGTTTTATATATGTGTGATAACATATGTATAATTATATATCACTATATATAATAACTATATCTTTATATCTGGTGCAGATGAGTAAATAACCCATGCAAATATCTGGGGAAGGAATAGTCCAGGCACTACAGGAATATCAAAAAGGCCAATATGACACAAGCAGAGTAATGACAGAGTGATATGGAGTGAGGAGCAGATGAAATAATAAGAAAAGTAGGCAGGTCGTTTTGAGGGGTATGTGTCTCAAATTCTAATTTGCATATAAATCACCAAGGTTTCACATTAAAATAAAGATTCTGATTCAGGTGGTCTGGAGAGTTTATATTTCTTACAAGTTTCAGGGGATGCTGGTGCTACTGGTCTGTGTATCACACTTTGAATACCAAAGGACTGGAGATGCGTGCATGGTAAGGAGCTTTGGGATGTGAGTAATGTGGGTTGAATTGTGTCTTCCCCAAAAAGATGTTCAAATCCCAACTCTCAGTACTTGTAAATATGACATTACTTGGAAATAAAATCTTGCCTAGTCAATCAAGTTAAGTGGATTCAGATGGGCCCTTATCAAATGACTAGTGTGCTTGTAAGAACGTGGATATTTAGAAAAACACACAGTGGATAAAGTATGGGAAGATGAAGGAAGAGAATGGAGTCATGTAACTACAAGCCAGAGAATGCCAAGGATTGATGGCAACTGTGAGAAGCTAGGAAAAGACAAGGAAGGATCCTCCCCTGGAGCCTTCAGAGACCCTGAGACTGATGACACCTTACTTTCAACTCCTAGCCTCCAGAACTGTGAGAGAATAAATTTCTGTACTTTTAACCTACTCAGTTGGTGGTAATTTGTTGCAGTAGCCTGAGGAAACTAATACCTTGAGTGGGATGGAGAGTGAAGTCATTGGAGGGTTTTAAGAGAAGAATGGCTCGGTCTGACTTATTCTTAAAGAATCACCCTAATTGCAGAAACAAGAATAGACTGAAGGCAAGGGGCTACAGGGAAGTAGGAAGACCAGTTAGGCGGCTATAGCAGTAAACCTAACTGGAGAGTGGAGAGATGGTGGTTTGAATCAGGGGGGTAGTGATGGTGGTGAGACAGGAACAGAATCTGAAGATGTTTTGAATTACTATTGATAAAATTTGTTAACATAGTATGAGCTATAAAAAAATGAGGGTGGCTGGGAATGGTGGCTTACTCCTGTAATCACAGCACTTAGGGAGGCTGAGATGGGTGGACTACCTGAGGTCAGGAGTTTGAGACCAGCCTGGCCAACATGGTGAAACCCTGTCTCTACTAAAAATACAAACATTAGCCGGGCATGTTGGCGGGTGCCTGTAATCCCAGCTCCTCAGGAAGCTGAGGCAAGGGAATCACTTGAACCCAGGAGGTGGTGGTTGCAGTGAGCCAAGATCATGCCATTGCACTCCAACCTGGATGACAAGAGTGAAACTCCATGTCAAAAAAAACGTAGAATGATTTATAATACTTTGGGTAGAAACCTAGTAATGGGATTGCTGGGTCAAATGGTATTTCTGGTTCTAGAATCTTGAGAAATCACCACATTGCCTTTCACAACAGTTGAACTAACTTACACTCCCATCAACAGTGTAAAAGCATTCCTATTTCTCCATATCCTCTCCAGTGTCTATTGTTTCCTGACTTTTTAGTGGTCGCCATTCTAACTGGCTTGGGATGGTATCTCACTGTGGTTTTGATTTGCATTTCTCTAATGACCAGTGATGTGGGAGATCGGTCAGGGTGGTGGGAGAAGCTATAAGGAAAGACGCAAGCCTTCTTGAAAGGTTGGAAGGTCTTGCAAAAGCTTCATGAGAGAATAAAGGTGAAGGAAGAAAATTCTCTTTCTCTGAGGCTAAGGGTGAGAAGTAGGTGCAAGGAAAAGTGAAGAAGTTTATCTAAATATGCTTGTTTACTTATGTCATCAGGAAACTGACTTTTGAACTTCTGAGCATGAGACTGCTCCCTGTAAGAGGGAGCAAAAATGTTAATTACCCAGCAATTGTGTTGACTCCAGGCCTTGGACGTTATACCAGTACTGAATAAATACAAGCAGCTCTGGCTTATCGAGACTGCTAACTCTCCTCTGCCCCTAGGGCTCGCAGCCTCCTAGCCTGCTCTTACCCTGTATATTTGTGTCTGAGTACTCCTTTCTTCTGTTGCTCAGCCAGGGTCTGCGGGATGGACCCGGCACAGTGATGATGAGCTTTTTTTCATGTTTGTTGGCCGCATAAATTTCTTCTTTTGAGAAGTGTCTGTTCACATCCTTTGCCCACTTTTTGATGGGGTTGGCACAAGCACATGTATGTTTACTGCAGCACTATTCACAATAGCAAAGACTTGGAACCAACCCAAATGCCCATCAATGATAGCAGCCTGGATAAAGAAAATGTGGCACATATATACCATGGAATATTATGCAGCCATAAAAAAGAATGTGTTCATGTCCTTTGCAGGGACATAGGTGAAGCTGGAAACCACAGTCTCAGCAAACTAACACAGGAACAGAAAACCAAACACTGCATATTCTCACTCATAAGTGGGAGTTGAACAATAAGAACACATGGATACAGGGAGGGGAATATTACACACAAGGGCCTGTCAGGGGGTGGGGGGTAAGGGAGGGATAGCATTAGCAGAAATACCTAATGTAGATGACAGGTTGATAGGTGCAGCAAACCACCATGGCACATGTATACCTATGTAACAAACCTGCATGTTCTGCACCTGTATCACAAAACTTAAAGTATAATTAAAGAAAAAAATAGGGCTGCCAAGGGTATAAACAGGGTGTTTCGTGGCTTAATAACTGTATAACTATAAGGATGGAGTCTATTACCTCCTGATATGAGGAACATGATGAGAGAAGGTGAGAATGGGGAAGATGCTGGGTAAGTGGGGAGAATAGTAGGAGATTAAGAGCTCTTTTTGAGGTATGTTCGCTTTGAGATGCCTATTTTGCCTGCAAGTGGAGATAGTAATTAGGCTACTTGGCATAAGTCTGGAGTCCAGAGCATAGGTCTCCACTGGAGATTTATCTGACATGAGTTATTAAAAGAAATTATGATGTTTGGCAAGCATGTCCTTAAGTTGTGAGATTAACATCAAG
The DNA here is from genome assembly GCF_000001405.40 of Homo sapiens. Lineage (NCBI taxonomy): Eukaryota > Metazoa > Chordata > Mammalia > Primates > Hominidae > Homo > Homo sapiens. Next base: position 40,162,529 of record NC_000009.12, on the reverse strand, counting down.
AAGGACAATCATGTACTTCTAAAACATGGTGTTCAGTGTCACTTATTTGAAAACATACTGGGCCATTATTTGACCTGTGACAGTTCTGACATTCATTCTAAGACTACCAGATATGAAAGTCAGGAGACTGATTAGTTTCTTTTTTGGTGCTTTTCTCACTCTAAACTTCAACTTTCCATATCATTAAAGCCACTAAGGTAAACAATTAGCCTAAGAGGTATATTCATTACTTTTTTGCTGCCTTTAAATTTGATGCCTCATTGTAAAAAATATGACCTCACTTGTATTTGTGTGGATGATATTTTAAAAGATCATACTGGGCAGAGAATATGGACACTTTCATTATTTAATACTTTAGACTAATGCCAATCATTCAAACATGAATTCTTCATTCATCTGTCTTGTCAAAGAAACAGAGCTCATATTGCATATGTGAAATATCACCTAGTGTCTATTTCAATCGTATATATTTTCTGTTTGTATCTTAGAAAAATTATTTCACCTCAACAAGCATATTGCTTGTTGGAATTATCTGGATATAGTGATAAAATAATTATTTTCATCAACATCTGAAGAAAATGCCTATGTATCTGTTGGGATGGGAGGTGGGATGGAGAGGTGTGCAGTTGTCTAGCACCACTTGTGGCTGGGAAGGTATGTGTGTCTACAGTAACAGAAAAATCTATTGTCACCACAAAGATTCCCCATAGCTCCTTTAAAAATAAACCTGCCATCTTGATCTCCATCTGCCTGAATCTTTGGTATCTCTCCCTTAGTTCAAAATTCTGACAGAGAATAGAAGCATATTTATCAATCCTTCAAGCCCCAGTAGAAACATCAGAGGGAGAAAACTTAACCTATTTTGAAATGGTTGACCAATTCTCAGTGACAAAGCTACAGTTACAGTCTGATTTTCTTGTCCATTGCCAAGAAAAAATGATTCAGTCTGACTCCAATTTATAAGGGCATGTTGAAAGCAAGAATCCTACTTGTAGAGATTCTTCTTCTAGGCATGAGGAATGGTTTTTCCAGGTAATGGATTCCTAATTTGCCCTTCTGTGGAACTAGATTTGCATGACAGATGACAGAATATTTGTCACCTTAAGATTCTTGAAAAATTAATTTAAAGCCATGCTATTTCTAATTGTTTTGGCTTATGCTCTGAAGTTTTTTTTTGTTTTGTTTTTTGTTTTTTGTTTTTTTGAGACAGAGTCTCGCTCTGTCGCCCAGGCTGGATTGCAGTGGCGCAATCTCGGCTCACTGCAAGCTCTGCCTCCCAGATTCACGCCATTCTCCTGCCTCGGCCTCCCGAGTAGCTGGGACTACAGGCGCCCGCCACTACACCTGGCTAATTTTCTGTATTTTTAGTAGAGAGGGGGTTTCACCGTGTTTGCCAGGATGGTCTCGATCTCCTGACCTCGTGACCCGCTCGCCTCGGCCTCCCAAAGTACTGGGATTACAGGTGTGAGCCACCGTGCCCGGCCCTGAAGTTTTTCTAAGGCTGCCAAAATTGTGGTCACCAACATAATAGGTACCATTTTTCCATTATCTAGTGTAAAATATATATAATATGTTATATAATATAAAACTTAATATATCTGCTGGTGCATATAGCTTTATTATCATATAAGCTATATGAAAGCAGAAATATGCATTTAAATTCAACATTTGCAAAATGTTTCCTTTTTTTTTTTTTTTTTTTTTTCTTGAGACAGAGTCTCGTTCTGTCGCCCAGGCTGGAGTACAGTGGTGTGATCTCGGCTCACTGCAACCTCTGCCTCCCGGGTTCACGCCACTCTCCTGCCTCAGCCTCCTGAGTAGCTGGGACTACAGGCGCCCGCCGCCACACCCAACTAATTTTTTTGTATTTTTAATAGAGACGGGGTTCACCATGTTAGCCAGGATGGTCTTGATCTCCTGACCTCGTGATCCGCCCACCTCAGCCTCCCAAAGTGCTGGGATTATAGGCATGAGCCACCGTGCCCGGCCTGCTTTTAGCTCTTACAATCGAGGGTAAATAAGGGTGGATTGCAATATGCATATATTTGAAGAAACCTGATACACATTGCTTCATTTTTTCATACAGCCTTAAGCAGATTATTAAATTTACCTTTTTATTTGAGTACTAACACTTTTCCTACATAGTTAGAGAGAGCTGTTTGCTCAGTTAATGCAGCAAAGGGATGAGGGTAAGAATGTGTGACAGTTAGCTCATTCTAATTTGCTTATTGATTGTTGGACATATTCCCTCAATTAGTTGACCTCAGCTCCTATATTGGGGCTTACATTAGGTGAACACCCAGGGTCTCAGGGCTCCACGTGGGTGTTTGAAATCACTTGTCTAGATATATAAAAGAGAACAGGATATACTCACCACTTGCTTGGACACATTTTACTGCCTAAACGGTTCATTTACATTGGCCAGTGATGCATTACTTCTTGCCCCTAAGTGTTTCTCAATCTGTGTTTTGTATCTAAAATACGCCTTTTTCTCCATAATCTTTTAAGTTGTCTTTTTTTGCTAGCATTGCTTATAAAATCTCATTTTCTCCAAGAAATCTCTCTTGAAGCTTAGAAAAACAAAATTGGGGTAATATTTTCTAGGTAAGTAGGCACAATTCTATAATTCTATATTCCATGATTTGTATTAAATATAATATAAATATTGATACATATTCTTTGTCTTTCAGAATAGGTATGTTATGTTCATATGTGTCAGGTTGGATCAGTATTTAAATTTTACTACTGAGATAAACAAAGAGTTATTAGCAATTTTTAAAAGTTGCTGTACAATTTGTCATATTTCATTGTGCTTCTTAATGACAAATATGTCCAAGATTATATTGGGAGCTGCCATTTTCTGTACTTTATCCCCAGATTTGGGAGTGATACTTATTACAGCTTTCAGAATTTCAAGAAATAGTAGCACTACTTTTAACTAGACTAAAGTCTTTTGTTTTTCTTTTGTATAACTTTCTGGACATTTGTAAATTCATAGGATGTCTTCCTCAAATCACAAAATGCCTATCGTCTAATTCAATTGGGAGGTCAGATACCGGTTTAATTCTGGAGCCATATGAATATTGCCTGAGTTAATGTTATAGCTGAATATCATGCAAATGTGGAAAAAGTCTATTGAATCAATGTCATTTTATACATGGAAATAAGCAAACAGTTGTAAATAATATGGAATATTAAAAATCTTTCTAGTAAACCATTGTTTATGCTTTTCAATTGTCTTGCTAAAGAAACATAGCTTCTTTTACCATGATGGAAAATATTGTGCTGGAAATAAAGAAAATAACAAATTTTGGGTCTCAGCTTAGGTTATCAGTTACCTAGTCTTAAACAAATGATATATCACCAGTGAAATTTAGCTTTTAGACATCAGTAAAGTAAGAAAATAAGCCTTGTTTACCATGAAATTTTATGCAAAAATTAGGTAATATTTAACTGGACTTATAAAGGACTTCTTTTTTCAAGAAACAATAAGAAAATGACCTGAAATAGTATAAGTTTTTATTCATAAGTAAAATTATTGCTAATTCACTTTACAATAGTCTACTTTTATTAATGGTGATCCTTGCATATTAAGACTTACAATCCTATTAATAATTGCTCACCTACAAAGGACATTTGTCAAGGGATCAAAGTCTTCATGTACCACATAAAATATTATTATAACAAAGTAAACCAGCTGTATGCCTTTGATCACTACATCAATATCTAGATCTTTTAGCTTCTATTTCTGTTCCATTCTGCTAGCCAAGGGTCTTTATAAAAATACAAAGGAAAATGAACAGCTAGTAACACATTTGATGTGCCACTCTGATGGACTTCAGAATGCTTAATATCATCTTGTTTAATTTCATGTTTCAAAAAGTTTCTCAATGGCAGGATCAATTACTTTCAATCTCCACATCAATCAGTCCAGATGGTTCTCATGATTTGCTAAGGATAGCTGCAAACTGAACTTTGTGAACCCACGATGCATATTGTGTTAATCCTTGATATGGAAGGATCCTTCTGCAGAATAAGCGGAGCTGAAAAAGGTGTGCTTACTTTCACAAACTGAATGTTATTTAAGGAATAAAAGGTATTCTTTAAAGTGTTAAATCCAGATGAACACTGAAAAATACAGTCTTCAGAAAAATCAAGTGATTTCACTTCTGTATTCATTGCTGAAATGAGAACATCATTTCATTTCTAATTCTAATTTGAATTTTGATTTAAGGTTAAAAACACTTTAGGATTGTTTCTTATTGCAGAATAATCTGTAACTTGTTCTGTAAACACTAGTTGCTAGGCTAAAACAGTGAGTTATATTTCTTTGTGTATGATACTATTTGTTTATTGTCAATTTTTCCTGAACTCACCAGTAGAATATATTTTAATTTGAATAATTTAAGAAGCAATGTCACCAATATGGATAGAACAATAATTTCACTTTTGTTACTAATTTAATTAAGAAGGTGATTTTTAGCAATATCCATTTCTATTTGGTTGTGTTTTTATCTATTTCAATTATTTTCTATATTGGAAGTAATTATGAATTTTAATTTTCATACAGCCCTCTTATCTTTTACTTAAAAAATTTAATGTTTAATGAATTTGGAGGGAGGGCCAACCTTCATTCTTACATTTATTTATACATTCAATGGGAAAGCAGTACTATTCTCCTGAATGTTCAAACAAGCAATGGAAATTTGCAAGAGAGAAATAATTTAAAATTTTCATCACATTGTATTGAAATTTCATCTTTGTTTCCATTTTTTCACCAGATCTTGAGCTCTTGAAGATGCATTGCCCATAGATGGTCTCATTAATTTAAGCAATGTTTTCAGGGCAGTTATTCTGTGAATATGCCTGTAGGATTTAACTGGTCTTTGAATTATGGATATTATTTGGAAAGCTGGAGAGGAGAGTGAAGGACACTATATAGGTAGGCAAACATCTTGAAATTTTGAAACATTGTGTAATTATTTTACACATAACTGCCTGGACATGACCAACAGGTATAAGAATAGAATCTGTTGGTTGCTAAAACTATACATTTTTAGTTAATGTCCAACATGTACCAATAGATGCCACTGAAGATCTTCTATGAAGTTCCTCCTAAGAGTCATAACTGGTGAACACAGTTCATCCATGGGGAATACAGACTATAACTTACTAATGGATTTAGGAAGGAATCTACCTAGCATTTTTGGGAAAATGTGAATAAATCAACCTGATCAATGTGGTGGGCTCCTCTAGAAAATAGAAAAATAGGGTTAGGCTAAGTAATGTGGAGATTTGAGAAGATAGATCTGGGGTGATAGAATATTAGATATAACAAAGGCAGTCTCTTCAACTTTACCAAGTTTTTATTGTCATTTGTGCTGGTGTCTATCAAATTGTATGTGACTGCTTGCTTTCAATATGGCAAATGCATCTTCAGAAACATTATAACTAAGATAACTTTTCCAATAGAGTGCAAAATGTGCATCTCTAGAAAGGTTTACTCAGAGAACTCTGGCAATACAATGCCACATACATGCAGCGTTATGATCTTTAGTTTGATTTCTCCTTCCCTTGACCCTGAATAGGACTCTACAGTCAAGGAAGTTGAATGGAGAAGGAATTTGAGACGTCAGGCTGTGTTTGTTAAAAGGGTTTTATGATGTCTTCTCTTTGAGTAAATATACTGGCTATTGTATCTTTCTTCCTTCCTTCCTTCCTTCCTTTATTGTATCTTCCTTCCTTCCCTCCTTCTTTCCCTGTTTCCTCCCTCCCTCCCTCCCTTCCAGCCTTCCTTCTTTCCTTCTTTCTTTCCTTCCTCCCTCCCTCCCTCCCTCCCTTCCTTCCTTCCTTCCTTCCTTCTCTCTCTCCTTCCTTAACTCCCTTCTTTCCTTCCATCCAGAATTATTTTTGAGAAACGCTGTGATGTGTCAGTTGGTAGCACATTCTCTGGAGCTGGTTGCTTGGATTAAAATCATAACCCTTCCTCCTATTAGCTATGTGACCTTGAACAAGCTACTAGGCCATAAATTAGGACTAATAATGGCATCAATATGATCTTGCTATAGACTGAATTGTATGAGTTAATGTATGTGAAGCATTTTTATATGGTAAGAATTGGATAAAATACAGTTACTATTTTATTTATTGAACACTTAGCATTTTTTAGCTTTTTATTTTGAAAAGATCTTAGATCCATAGGGAGTTTCAAATACAGAGAGGTCTCGTGTACTATTCTACACAGTTTATTTCAAGAGTTACATCTTGTATAATTTAGTACAATATCAGGACCAGGCATTGACATTTATACAATGTGAATTCATAGGTCTATGCCAATTTTATCACGTATTGATTAATGTGACCATTATTACAATTAAGTTACAGAACTCTTCCATCACTAAAAGTGTCTTCCTCACATTTTATAGCCATATTCATCTCACATTCCCATACCATCACTAACCTCTGGAAATCACTAATCTGTTTTCTATATGTATGTTATTTTATTAAAGTTATATACATGAAATAATATGCCATGTGTCCTTTTGATATTTGCTTTTTTTCACTAAGCATAATGCCCTTCAGATCTATGCAAGTTATTGCATGTGTCAAAAGTATATTCTTTTTTATTTCTGGGTAGTATTTAATCATATGGATATACCACAGTTTATTCAACCATTCACCTGTCCAACATCTTGGATGTTTCCAGTTTTTCTCTGTTAGAATTAAAGGTGCTATGAAAGATATTAAAGATCGCATATAGGTTTACATTTCTCTTAGATAAATTTCCAGGGGTGCAATTGCTGGATCTTATTATAAATATATGTTTAGTTTTTAAAGAAACTGATAAATTATTTCCAGAGTATTATAACATTTTACAATTCAAATAATGTATGAATGATACAGTTTCTTCATCATTGCCAGCTTTTGTTGTCACTATTTTTATGTTTAGTTGTTTTAATAAGTGTGTAGTTACCTAGTATTTTGATAAGAGCTGAGGATACAAATTTGAGTTGATCAAGAAGTCAAACAAATAGAAAGCAATCATTAAAGATTACAATAAAAATAAACGAAGTGAGGAGACTGCTAGTAACCAGGGAAGGAACTTTAATTAAGGTATTTCAGAAAACTTCTTAGCCGAGATTTCAAAGAACAATGATCTAATTTTACAAAAAGCCAAGAAAGCTTATTTTAGAAAGAAAGAGAAACAAGCACAAAATTCTAGAGGCAGAAAAAGGGTTGGCATATACAAAGACTGTGGAAATAATTAAGAATGTTTTGGGTGTGATAAGAAAAGAAGGGAAGTGTATGACGTGGTTGGAGAGGTAGGTAGAAAACATCAAGCCAGGATCTATGGTCATTAAAAAGAAGTTGGAAATTTTTCTTTATATTAGCAGAGGAAAGCCAAACAAGGAGTTAAAGCAGAAAGTAGGGAATGAAGAGTCAAGATCTTGTGTGCTTTAAAAAAAAAAGCCACTCTGACTACTGTGAAAATAGAGCATTTAGGGAGGAGATGACAAGTGGGGAGGCAGATTTGCAATGCATTGTGGTATTCTGACAGAGAGATGGGTGTGGCTTTGAGAAGTGTTCACGGAAGAAACGGAAATCTTGGAAATGGAGAGTCATGGGGAAAAAAAGAACCTAGGTCGACCTCTAGGTTTTGGGCATGAGTCATACAGGCACAGTGTAGTACCATTTATTGAGATGAGAAAAGCTGTTGAAGGAATTTTGTTTTGCTTTGTTTCAGTGTGAACACGTGCAGCAGTCAGCTTGATTTCAGACATACTAAATTTGAGTTTTCTGTTAGATACGCAGGAGATTTCAAATAGGAGATTGGATATATTAGCTAAAATATTGCATCTGCAAGTCTCTTTTTTCAACTGATCTTAGATGGATGGATAAATAAGATAAACCAGTTGAAGTCCAGTGGAAAAATATTCCATTAAAATAAGACCTATTTGGGCTTCTATTATGATATTTTGCCCTTTCTTATCTCTGTGACTAGAGTGAATAATAATAATCAGAGATGCAGTTTTCTCACCTGTGCAATAGTAATTTCTATTAGATATGCATAGTGTGGAAAATTAGCTAAACTCATTCATACAAAGTAACTCTGACATTGAAGGTTCTAAAATTAACAACATTTAGAATTTTAATCTTCCATCTAGTTTTACCATTTGGAGTATATAAGGAAACCTAGAAAGAAACCTTATATCCACTTGTCTATCCTATAATATTTGCACATTATAGGGTATAATCTCAGGGCATAAATACAACTTTTTATAATTCCTATAGAGTGATACTCTTAGGCCAATATTACTGATCTTGAAAAGTGGGGTATTGAGGTATTTTACTTGGTTGTAAGCCATCAACGTGTTTTACAAATGTGATATTATGTTTTGATATTAGTAAAAAAAAGAAGCTTCAAAATGTCCTCTCTTTCTTTGAATGCAATCACAATCATTTCCTTTTTGAATTTTAAATATAAGTAACCTAAAACTTAATAACTTGCTCACAAGTCTAGAAGCAGACAAAATATCACCCACAAACCTGATTTATAATACTACGTTAAACTGACTTAAGGTTTTAGACATTCATAAACATCTTTTAATCTATTCCCCTTTTGCATGGATATGTAAATATATACTCCAGGAGGTATAATTTTTGTAGTTATTGTAGTGCTTTTGTAATGAAGAACTAAGTCTATTTTCACAGTGATAGAGAATTGAGTTGAGTTCTTTTGACCCTGGATGGATTTGTCTATTTTTTAAGGTGCTACTTAAAAATGTATAGGAGAAAATAAAAATAAATTATCTCTTTCATAAGTTAAAAATATTTTACATTTCAGCATTCTGAAAGCACAGAGGTTTCAACAAAAATGATGGTTTAGAATCAAATTCAATAAAGAAACATCAGCTTGAGATCAGACTCTCTGAGGAATGTTTTTTTTTCCTGATGAATCTCAGCCATTCAAGGTCCTTATAAATAAGTGAGAGCACCTTTGATTTTTGACTTTTTATAGTTAACAATTTCAGTTTGCTAATACAAAAGACCTCATGCCTTTTCATCCAGAAAACAGAGAACACTTTCTATTATGTAAGAGTATTATGTTTGAAGGAGTATGTTTGCTTCAACTATGCGTGCTATGGTACAGAAAGAAAAACCACCTCCCTGTAGGTCTAAATCCAAGGGGTTTTCAATGTATTTGGGTTAAGTTATGTTGTAAGGTTATAGCTCTCTAAGATTTTTACAAGATGCATTATTAAACATGAATCTTCTGTAACGTGTACAGCATATCTTGTATAAAACAATGCAATATTTTCTTCTAAGTATGGGATGGCTTTGGTCACCCATGCTTAAAAAAACTTTGAAGAGACAATTCATCTTTTTCCTATGAAGCAATTTTTATTAATTGACATAATTCTTCAGCAGTCAAGCTATTACAGTCATTAGGTAGTCCTTTCCTTTATTCAGAAGCCCAAGAAGTTAGTAGAGGTTTGTATACTACGCACCTTTCACCAGAAAATAAAAAGGGAGAACTTTAAGTATTTGACATCATCAAAAATTAGGTGTTATGGTGCTATGCTTAAGTTTTGATATTATATATTAATTACATTTCCCTTAGTACTACCTCCTCTGAATTCTTGAGCTTGTCAGTAGTTGAAAACATTTGAACCTAAACCATTTTTGCACATTCAGAACTAAATGTCTGGGTAACTTGGGAATTAATACTCTACAACCTGTGATGGAGCAGGGAGCAGGGTCAGCTGTCCATTAGCATCTCTTGTGAGGTCTCTCCATTTTCATAAAGAGGCTTGAGAAAATCTCCAGATTTGCCTGAGGGTAGACACAAAGCAATACTCAGTTATACTCAATGTTATCAACCTACTGGACTTGGTATAAAAGACTTTTTGAGCACTGTATTGCCTATTAAAAAACAGTAAAGTGTAAAAGATAGTTCTTTAGACAAATTGGGCCACGGAAATGCCAAATCATTAGTTTTGGTGTCTGTAATGCCTCACAAAGTTATAAACTTTTATGAATAATTTGCTAAGAAATTAGCTCTAATGACAGGTAGTTTATGTATATACCTTGATAACATCTACAGGTATCTTATGCACATGACATTATAGAAATATTTGTTTGGGTTTTTCTCAACCAGTCATTTTCTACACCATAATTCCAGCTCAGCCCACTCCACTTGCAATTGCTTGCTCTCATCTTCTAACTCCTGTTTATTCTTCTCAATTTCTGCTGTAATGGCTTCATTTAACCTGCTCCTCTGTATCTTGTATGCTTTTTAGTTCACTGCTTATTTCCTTCTTCCTGCTGGAAAACTTGGCTAAATAACTCGTATTAATATTTTAGCCTCATTTGGCTTTAAGATTATCTCATAAGGATATCCTATATAAATGGTAGTTAATATTTCTGAGCACCAACTTCCCTTACTCCAGCTCTCAGACTTCTTCCCATTGTTATGACAATTGAAGGCTTTTTAAATTCCTGTCTTAGGAAAAGTGGCCCAAAATTTGCCATAGATCTATGATGTTTTAATTAATACTGACCTCTGAATGATCTAGAAAATAATGGTAAACCATGTATACATATTTGTGTGTGCACATGTGTGCATGTATCCATAGCATCTGTGTGTGTGTACATTTTATAGATTTTGTCTTTGTATGAAGAAATATATTGAATATCCAAATAAGCATAATTTCTCTACAAGTGAGGTATGTGGGTTAAAATCTAGTGAACAAAATATAACTATACATTCATGATTTGGAAACCTTTTAACATGATTCCTGAGGAATTACTCAATTGTTAATTGTTTCTGCCTTCTCTACCAAAATGACTAATATTTGGACTGAGAAGAAAAAAAGAGAACCTCGGTAAGGAAAAGTGGAATTTCTGTAGGTGGTAACTCTGGAATATCCCACCAAGAGAATGAATCAGATTAAAATAATGACTGTAGAAATTTCCTTGTTAGTGAATATTCAGCCTGGCCTTAAGGAAAATGTAGCTCTCTCTTACTGCTTTGTATCTTATTTCTTTTACTATGTCAATTCTCACCTTAGTAGAACTACTACTAGTTCTAGTACCATGGCTATCATAGATGCAACCATTATATTCCATTTAGTTTCTTCCTCAGGTTCCCTAACAATTGTTTGAAACTGAATATATATGTTTATGTATGTGTGTGTGTTCACTTTCATGTATATGGTGTATATGGGATGTGTGCAGTTTTCAGTTTTATATATATTCATATATATACATGCATATATGTGTATAATATACATATATACATGCATACACATGTATAATATACATATATACATGCATACACATGTATAATATACATATATACATGCATACACATGTATAATATACATATATATACACATATATGCACACATATAATCACTGAGTTCCAAAGTGAGTCTTTATTTGGTGCAATTGTATTCTCTCCCCTCTGTCTGCTCACTGGCCTTTGCAAGACATAGCAGTTGCTTGATTTTCCTTTGGATAAGAGTCTTATCTTCGGCACTCTTGACTCTAGCCTTAAATTTAGATTTCTATTCCAGAATACCTCTCATATCAATCTTAAAACCTAAGATGGGTAAAGAGGTCATAAGATTTTTAGTATGAAAGAGTTTGCTTAGTTAAATTATATCTCAGGAAACTCATTCATCTACCAGTTAAATTGTAAAATATTGTTTGTTGTATCTGAAAAAATCTTTAGAACAAGAAATGTAACTGGGTAGCCTGTTATATCAAAGAACCCTCGATTTATTAAGTCTCCTCATAGCCATATCCTTATATAGCCCTCTCTGACACTGACTTAATAGACACTTGACAAATTATAGTAAATTTAGGCTTGCCAAATTAAAATGGCAGCAATGCCAAATGAGAACCTGATCTACTCTACCAGAGAGACTAAGTGGAGGAGAACCCAGCTGATAGCACCAGTGAAGTGCCAGATATTTGAGTGATGTCACTTTGGACTATGTAGGCCTTGTCAGTCATATAAGGAAACCTAGGCAAGACTCCGACTATTATCCTCCTGAGCCCAACCAAAGTTAACAAATTGTGAGTTTGTGTTTTAAGCAACTAAGTTTGATGACTGCTAATTACACAGCAATGGATAATTGAAATAACAGCTAAAGCTTAAAGATGAGATAATGTGTTGTGTTTAAAAATTTAGCAAGTGAGTACTTCATGAATATATTTACCTTGATGGCATTACAAGCTAAATTTTACTGGGCTTTATTAGAACAAATTATTTGAGCATTGATGAGAAAGTGAACTTTCAAACTATCTTATTTACGTTTATGTTTCAGTTATCCCACAAAAGCAGGAAATTACTTTCAACAATGCACCTGAGGTATTTTATAGTAACTCTCTGGTTATTTCCATGTGTCAGGTGGAGAAATATGGATCAGACACAAAGACAATAAGATTCATTGCTCTCTAGCGGAATACTTTTTCTTAAATGGGTTTATTAGTGAATTGAGAACTTGATTTGATGTTTACTCTGACGTGTGATGTAAAGTTCTTCCTAAAGCCCCCTTTCTTTTCCTTTTTAAAATTATTAACATAGATGAATACAGAGAATGTGAACATATTAGCTATACAGATATCACAACAGGAGAACAGTAAATGTTATGTTTTAGACTATTTCAACCCTAAAATATGGACACAGGTTGGAATGAGGATCCAATTCAGCATAATAGCCTCTAATGGAATGGGAAACATATAAAATCCTGTGTTGCTTTATGAAATGTTTCTTATTTGCTGCATGGTTTTAAAAAGTATCAGTTTTATTTAATAGTGGGATCTTTATGTCAGTGATTACTGATGTTTCCAGCAAGCTAATTCATACCAGGGAGACAATGTAAACATTTAGAAAGGGGATTATATTTCTGTACTATCTGCATATGTCAGATGACAACGAGAGTTTCAAAGTACAATCTTATGAAGGGTTGTATTGCAGATTTGGCCTAGAAGCCCAAAACCATTAAATTTTTATCAAAATTATACCTGAAAATTCTTCATGTTGTTTATTAGCAGTCATTATCTTTACAAAGATATAGGAAATAAAGTGATTTCCATCTGTTGCAATCACTTGCCTTTTACAATAGACAAAATTGTTATTTTCATTAGATTTTACAAAAGGAATGATATATAAATTTTTAAAAGGCATGTTTAGGTTCTTTCACCAGAGAAATTTAGATTATTCTTGCATAAAATCAATAAACATAATCCAGCACATAAACAGATCCAAAGACAAAAACCACATGATTATCTCAATAGATGCAGAAAAGGCCTTTGACAAAATTCAACAACACTTCATGCTAAAAACTCTCAATAAATTAGGTATTGATGGGACATATCTCATAATAATAAGAGGTATCTATGACAAACCCACAGCAAATATCATACTGAATGGACAAAAACTGGAAGCATTCCCTGTGAAAACTGGCACAAGACTGGGATGCCCTCTCTCACCACTCATATTCAACATAGTGTTGGAAGTTCTGGCCAGGGCAATCAGGCAGGAGAAGGGAATAAAGGGTATTCAATCAGGAAAAGAGGAAGTCAAATTGTCCCTGTTTGCAGGTGACATAATTGTACATCTAGAAAACCCCATTGTCTCAGCCCAAAATCTCCTTAAGCTGATAAGCAACTTCAGCAAAGTCTCAGGATACAAAATCAACGTACAAAAATCACAAGCATTCTTATACACCAATAACAGACAAACAGAGAGCCAAATCATGAGGGAACTCCCATTCAAAATTGCTTCAAAGAGAATAAAATACATAGGAATCCAACATACAAGGGAGGTGAAGGACCTCTTCAAGGAGAACTACAAACCATTGCTCAATGAAATAAAAGAGTATACAAACAAATGGAAGAACATTCCATGCTCATGGGTAGGAAGAATCAATATCGTGAAAATGGCCATACTGCCCAAGGTAATTTATAGATTCAATGCCATCCCCATCAAGATACCAATGACTTTCCTCACAGAAATGGAAAAAACCACTTTAAAGTTCATATGGAACCAAAAAAGAGCCCGCATCACCAAGTCGATCCTAAGCCAAAAGAACAAAGCCGGAGGCATCACGCTACCTGACTTCAAACTATACTACAAGGCTACAGTAACCAAAACAGCATGGTACTGGTACCAAAACAGACATATAGATCAATGGAACAGAAGAGAGCCCTCAGAAAAAATGCCACATATCTACAACCATCTGATCTTTGACAAAGCTGACAAAAACAAGCAATGGGGAAAGGATTCCCTATTTAATAAATGGTGCTGGGAAAACTGGCTAGCCATATGTAGAAAGCTGAAACTGGATCCCTTCCTTACACCTTATACAAAAATTAATTCAAGATGGATTAAAGACTTACATGTTAGACCTAAAACCATAAAAACCCTAGAAGAAAACCTAGGCAATACCATTCAGGACATAGGCATGGGCAAGGACTTCATGTCTAAAACACCAAAAGCAATGGCAACAAAAGACAAAATTGAGAAATGGGATCTAATTAAACTAAAGAGCTTCTGAACAGCAAAAGAAACTACCATCAGAATGAACAGGCAACCTATAGAATGGGAGAAAATTTTCACAACCTACTCATCTGACAAAGGGCTAATATCCAGAATCTACAAAGAACTCAAACAAAGTGACAAGAAAAAAACAAACAACCCCATCAAAAAGTGGGTGAAGGATATGAACAGACACTTCTCAAAAGAAGACATTTATGCAGCCAAAAAACCCATGAAAAAATGCTCATCACCACTGGCCATCAGAGAAATGCAAATCAAAACCACAATGAGATACCATCTCACACCAGTTAGAATGATGATCGTTAAAAAGTCAGGAAACAACAGGTGCTGGAGAGGATGTGGAGAAATAGGAACACTTTTACACTGTTGGTGGGACTGTAAACTAGCTCAACCATTGTGGAAGTCAGTGTGGCAATTCCTCAGGGATCTAGAACTAGAAATACCATTTGACCCAGCCATCCCATTACTGGGTATATACCCAAAGGATTATAAATCATGCTGCTATAAAGACACATACACACGTATGTTTATTGTGGCACTATTCACAATAGCAAAGACTTGGAACCAACCCAAATGTCCAACAATGATAGAGTGGATTAAGAAAATGTGGCACATATACACCATGGAATACTATGCAGCCATAAAAAATGATGAGTTCATGTCCTTTGTAGGGACATGGATGAAGCTGGAAACCATCATTCTTAGCAAACTATCACAAGGACAAAAAACCAAACACTGCATGTTCTCACTTATAGGTGGGAATTGAACAATAACACATGGACACAGGAAGGGGAACATCACACACCAGGGACGGTTGTGGGGTGGGGGGAGTGGGGAGGGATAACATTAGGAGATATACCTAATGGTAAATGACGAGTTAATGGGTGCAGCACACCAACATGGCACATGTATACATATGTAACAAACCTGCACGTTGTGCACATGTACCCTAAAACTTAAAGTATAATAGTAATAAATAAAATAAAACAAAAGAACTAGTTTGTTGAGTTCATTTAGGAACTAAGTTGTAAGAAATATTGCACCAGACAATTTGTTTTCTGAGATGAAGCTCAAGTAACTATGAGCACAGTATCAGGAATGACATTCATTTGTTCCCAGCTGTCTCTAGGCATTTTGCACTCTTGAAAAATACTAAGTTCCCTGGACCTGAAGAGATTCATGAATCAGTAAGAATGTGAGCCCCTTGAGTGTTCAATATCCCTTCAAACCTTAGAAACTGTAAGTCAATGACGGTGATTATCATATCACAAGAGTATAGTTAGCTTCTTTTAAAAGACATAAAAGACCCCTCTGAGTTAGCCCTAGACACATATTACTCCAACTGCCTGAAGAAAGGTTTAGCGATCCATACAGAATTACTCTCAATTAGATTTAGAGAAAACATTCTCTCTTTGAAGAACACTAGAATTGAGGAAAATATGGTAGAGCATATAGGTTATTTTGCCTTTGTTACTTTGTAGACCTTAAATCATGGAGTGAGTTAGAACACAGTATATTTGTGACAACCATGACAGTTCAGAGAAATGCAGTGAGGTCATTTACTCTGAAACTGAAAGACACTAATCTCTGCTCTGAGACCCACAAAGTCAGATTATCTGTTTTACCTGTGTGATTTCTATTCCTCTCATTTTGTTGTTCTTTTTATAAAACATCTTTGCTAAATAATAAAGTTATTACTCTAAGGTAGTGTCCAGGTCTCTTTGATAATAATGAAATGTCCATGGCCAAATCCCATTGCTTTGTTTTGACAGTGTGCTCCAAGAAAATTACTTTGATATGCCCTCTCATATTAGAATAAACACATTCTACATACCTATTGCCTACATCAAGTTTTGAATTATACCATTTTCAGGTTTAACCTGGTCATACAGCAGATTTTCTTAATGGTTGGTGAACACGGAATAATAGTTTAATCATTCAGATAAACTATTTTGCAGAAACATTTAAAATCAGAAATTGCAGAACTACTATCTGAACTTTAAAGGGACACTCTTAACCATATTTTGTTTTATTTAGTACTCACGCTGACAAGTTGATTTACCACCTCATTTTCCCAACAAGTGTCAAGATTTCAATATGCAGTTAATGGTTTCTAAAAACAGTGACTATTTAATTACATCCTTATAGTTTCCCCAAATTGCTTATAGTTTGCCCGCATTTAGTTAGGTCTATAATATTTCTCAATTAGTGTAAAAATTTCTACTCCTTTTTAATCATTGATGCATATAATGATGTATAAAAATTATTATGTAGATAGCCCCTCCATGAAAACTTAAAGTCAAAAGCTTTTAGCATCAAAGTATCAGAATACAAACTAAAGAAAACACACCAATTCAGAAAGATTTTCTTTAAATATATTAAAGTGAATAAAATGTTCACAGAGAATCACTCACATCTAAGGATATAGACTTTTTCCTAAAGTGAAACTATTTTTGGCTCACTCAGACTCTGAGTAGTGTTTCACTGATTTTGAATTTCACTGGTCAGAACCAGTGTTGGTAGTAAGAATTATTGTCCCAGAAGAGAATGGAAATGCTTGCCAACTCTACTTTCAACCCTTGCTGGAATCCCTATATTGTGGGTAGAGATATGACTAAATTAAGCAGTTTTAAGTCTAAGCCAGAAAGATTTAATTATTGATTTATTGGTTTTACAATTGTTAAATATTGCCTTTAACCGAGTATATGTTTTATCATGTAATAATCACTTTGGCAGCCTCAAATGTCATGGGTTCACAGGGTAAATGTTAAGGTAATAGCTAAACAATTGAGCGTATAGGAGATCTATAGTAAGTGAAAAAAATTCAAGATGTAATACAGAGTCCAGTATGACAGACTTGAGAAACTTTCAAAAACTAGGAAAAGAAAACCAAAAGTCATTCTTGCAGTGTCTCTGATTGCACTGACTTGATGCAGAATTGGTGCATTAACATATGTATACATTACATATGTATACATGTGCCATGCTGGTGTGCTGCACCCATTAACTCGACATTTAGCCTTAGGCTAAATGCTATCCCTCCCCGCTCTCCCCACCCCACAACAGCCCCCAGAGTGTGATGTTCCCCTTCCTGTGTTCATGTGTTCTCATTGTTCAATTCCCACCTATAAGTGAGAACATGCGGTGTTTGGTTTTTTGTCCTTGTGATAGTTTGCTAAGAATGATGGTTTCCAGCGATAGTTGACTGAGAATGATGAATTAAAATAAAAATGCATGCACTTTCAAATGTACTTAGTGCAACATATTGAACTTACATTCCAGTTTTCCTGGAATTACTTGTGTCTTGAGCTAAAGGCTGTATTTGGTATAACAGGGAAGGAAAGAAATTATTTTTCCTATAAAATTAGTTTAAAAACACATATAATTAAACAAAATAAAAATATTATCCCATCTTTTAAAGAACATTTACTAAGTCACAGATATTACCTGAAGTTTAGAAAATCACCTAAGAACAATTGTTTAAAAATTATTTAAGGAAAATGAAGCAAAATTGTTTTTACAATCTGAGATTTTAACAGCCAGTGCACTCCTGTTCTTCAGCTGAATGTCCCCTTCATTCTGAATGTCTGCAGTAGAATTGAATTGGGGAGCAGTTAGGTTCCAGGAACATATTCACTCCTGTTTTGTTCTCTCCCCAATCTCTGCCTTTCGGTGACTGTTTGGGCAAAGCCTCCCTTGTGGTAGAAGATGCCTCACTTCTGGGGAGAGGAGACTCCTCATCTTGCAGACAAGAAGCAGCACCCACTGGTTCCTGCTCCAAAAGCCATTAACATTATAAACTGGCCAGGTGCGGTGGCTCAAACCTGTAATCCCAGCACCACTTGGGAGGTTGAGGCAGAAGGATTGCTTGAGCCCAGGAGTTTGAGAACAGCCTTGGCAACAAAGTGAGACCCAATCTCTACAAAAACTAGAGAAAAAATAGCTGGGTGTGGTGGCACTCACCTATACTAAGGAGGCTGGGCTGGGAGGATCTCTTGAGCCCAGGTGGTTGAGGCTTCAGTGAGCCAAGATCATGCCTCTGCACTTGAGCTTGGGTGACAGAGTAAGATCCTATCTCAAAAAATAAATTATAAACTGATTCACAATAACTTTGGTTTTGTCACTAATATGCTGAATATTTTCGTTACAACTAATATACAAAATGCAAACTGGCTATCACTACCATTCTGATAATGGAATTAGCTGTCCTACATACCTGATGACCTAATGCTTAACCTAATCTTCCTCTTTCCCACTTTGATTTGGAAACTTGTTACAATAGAGTTCTTTACCTCAAAGTCTTAAGGAATTCAAGACAAGACTAGAGTATGTTAAGATACCACAAAAAAAAAAATATATATATATATATATATAGCAAGAGCTTTCTTGAGTAAGCAAATTTTATACATATAAAAATAATTTACATGCAAATGACCAAGAGGAAAGGTTAAGTGACTCTGGTGTAAATAATTAGTTTACTGATTCTGCCAGAGCATATTAAGAAAAATTCACTTTGGAAAAATAATATGGATTTAAAGAAGTAACAAGTGGGTTTCTCTAAAGCACAGTTTGGCTTTTTACTAGAATATCAAGTCACCTTTTTGGGTGAGGAGAGTACAATGGGAGTGGGCAGCTGGTGCAAATAAACATTTACAATTACTTAAAACTTCAACAAATGGGATCTGTATTTAAATCTGTTTTGGTCTGTCTTCCCTTTGTTTTTTCTAATCCATTCCAACAATGCAAACCTCAGCCACTGTCAAGGGCAATCTCAGACTGGAGGTTGCTGCCTAGGGTGAGGTTCTAGCAAGACTGACAAGCAGAGCTCAGGGAATAGTCTGCATGGGAAAACAGAGCCAGACTTAGAAGGCATTGCTGATGAATTCCATTTTCTTACTACAGAAGAGCTAGCAAAAACTGCAATATGATGTGTAAAGTCAGTGTAATCTTATGGACATTATACCAAGTCACAACATGAGGCATGAGATACCTCAGATGTTGTTCCCTCTAAATCTCATGTTGAATTGTGATATCCCCAATGTTGGTGGTAGGTCTGGAGGGAGGTGATTGGATCATGGGGGTGGATTTCTCAGAAATGGTCTAGCATCCTGTCCCTGGTGCTGTCTTTGTGATAGTGAGTGAATTCTTGCAAGATCTATTTGTTTAAAAGTGTGTGGTGCTTCCCCTGCCTTGCCAGGTGATGTGCCTGCCTGCTCCTTCTTCATCTTCTGCCGTGAATAAAGCCTGCTGAGGCCTCACCAGGAGCTAGGCAGATGCCAGAATCATGTTTGTACAGCCTGCAGCTATACAAACCTCTTTTCAAACCTCTTTTCTTTATAAATTACCCAGTCTCAGGTATTTCTTTATAGCAATGTAAGAATGGCCTAATACAGAAAATTGGTACTGAGACATGGGGCATTGCTATAAAGATACTTGAAAATGTGGAAGTGATTTTGGAACTAGGTAATGGGCAGGAGTTGGAAGAGTTTGGAGGGCTCCTAATACAGGAAGATGAAGGAAAGTTCTGAATTTCTTAGAGACTAGTTAAATGGTTGTGACCAAAATGCTGATAGTGATATGGACGGTGAAGGATAGGCTGATGCGGTCTCAGATGAAAATGAGGAACTTACTGGGACTTGGAATAAAGGTCATGCCTGTTATGCCTTTGCAAAGAACTTGGCTGCAGTCTGTTCATGTACTAGGGATCTGAGGAAGTTTGAACACTCAGATGCAGGAGCAAAAAAATGACTTAAAGTTGGAATTTACAATTAAATGGGAAGCAGACCATACAAGTATAGAAAATTTGCAGCCTGCCCATTTGGCAAAGGAAGATAAAGCATTTTCAGGGGAAGAATCTAAACAGGCTGTGGAGCAACCACTTATTAGAGACATTTGCATAACTGAAAAAGAGCTAGGTGCTGATAGCCAAGACAATTAAAAAAAGGCCTTGAAGGCATTTCAGAAATCTTTGCAGCAGCTCATCCCAGCACAGACCTAGAGGTCTAGGATGAAAGAATGGTTTCTTGTGTAGTGGGATTTTAAAAATTAATTAATTAATTAATTTATTTATTTATTTATTTTGAGACGGAGCCTCACTCTGTCTCCCAGGCTGGAGTGCAGTGGCACAATCTCAGCTCACTGCAAGCTCTACATTCCGGGACATGCCATTCTCCTGTCTCAGCCTCCCAAGTAGTTGGGACTACAGGTGACTGCCACCATGCCTGGCTAATTTTTTGTATTTTTAGTAGAGACGGGTTTTCACTGTCTTAGCCATGATAGTCTCAATCTCCTGACCTCGTGATCTGCCCTCCTCAGCCTCCCAAAGTGCTGGGATTACAGGCGTGAGCCACCGTGCCCAGGCTGTAGCGGGATTTTTTAAGGAATCAGAGAGACTGATGGGGTTGAGGAGGATATTTATTATTTAGGTGCACCGGCCCAGTCAGATTAACAACCAAAGGACTGAGTCCTGAACAAAGACTTAAGTTAACTTTTAAGCATTTTGTGGGGTGGTGGAGAGTGGGGAGATCTGTGCAGGGGGAAGCATATTACAGAAGTGAGAAACAAAGACAGTTATTCAATTAATTGAGACATGCATTATATCATTTCTTACTTTTCAAGGAAAAACATGTTTTACGACTTGAGTTTATCTGTCTAGTGACCTTGCAGCTGCACAGCTAGGGAAACAGGGTCTTCACAATGCCTGGGAAAGGAGGAGAGATGAAGCTCACTAGCCACAGAAAAACAGGCAGTTAATTTTTAAAGGGCTCCAGCTCTTTCTCTTTCTCAGGGGGAACTGGGTTTTCTCACATACAACTGAGTTTCTGCTTACACATTCTTTAATTTCTTTTAATTCCTGTTCCACTTGGACCAGGGCCAGGGCATCACTGTCCTGTACCACCCCCAGGAGGGTGTTCCTTGCATCCTGGCCCTTCTAGCTCCAGCCTTGGTTCAAAGGGCTGCAGATAGAGCTCAGGTCATGGCTTCAGAGGGTGCAAACTATAAGCCTTGGTGGCTTCCATGTGGTGTTAAGCCTGCAGGTGAGCAAAGTGCAAGAGTGAAGGAGGCTTGGCATTCTCTGCCTAAATTTCAGAGGATGTATGAGAAAGGCTGGATGCCCAGGGAGAAGACTATGCACCACTGGAGCTCTCAAAGAGGACCTCTTCTAGCACAGTGCCAAGTGGAAATGTGGGGTTGGAGGCCCCACTCGGGGTCCTGACTGGGGGGGCTGCCTAGTGGAGCTGTGGGAAGGGGGCTGCTGCCCTCCAGATCCCAGAATGATAGAGCCACCAGCAGCTCATGCCTTCAGTGTAGAAGAGCCGTGGGAGCAGAGCAGCCCCAGGCCTTGGGAGCCCACCCTATGCATCATGGGAATGCTCTATGTTCCCAGGATGTGGGACATGGTTTCAAAGCAGATTATTTTGGAACATCGAGTTTTAATGACTGCCCTGCTGGGATTTGAACTTGTGTGGGGCCTGTAGCCCCTTTCTTTTGGCCAATTTCTCTCTTTTGTAATGGGAATGTTTACCCAATGCCTGTACCCCAATTTTCTTAGAAATAAATAACTTGTTTTGATTTTACAGGCGCATCAGTGGAAGGGACTTGCCTTGTCTCAGAAGAAACTGCACTTTCGAGTGATGCCGAAACAGGTTGAGACTTTTGGGGGACTATTGAGAAGGGATGATTGTATTTTGCAATGTGAGAAGAACATGAGATTTGAAGGGCCAGGGATGGAATGAAATAGTTTGGATGTTGTACCCTTTAAGTCTCATGTCGAATTGTAATTCCCAGTGTTGGAGTCGGGGTCTGGTGGGAGGTGATGGGGTCATGAGGGCTGATTTCTCATGTTTAACACCATCCTCTTGGCACTGTCCTTGCAAGAGTGAGTGAGTTCTCATTACATCTGGCTGTTTAAAAGTGTGTGGCACCTCTCCCTGCTTGCTCCTGCTCTGGCCATGTGACATACCTTCTTTTGCTTCACCTTCTGCCATGTGTAAAAGCTCCCTGAGGACCCTTCTTGAAGCCAAGCAACTGCCAATGCAAAGCTTCCTGTACAGCCTGCAGAACTGTGAGCCAAGTCAATCTTTTTTTTCAGTATAAATTATGTAGTGCTTAGGTATTCCTTTATAGTAATGCAAGAATGCCATAATACAAGGCATAATGGTTTGCATTTTAAAAATGAAAATTAAATTTTTGTAATTTATCATGAAAAGATGAAATGAGTTAATAATGAGCAATATCTACATGTTGTCTTAGAGGTGCTGACAAACTGTCAAGGAATTACATGCATTGATCAAGCAGTTTACCTTCAAGTTGAATAACAAGATATTCCTATCTAACATAACAAAATTTTGACATTATTTGGGAGACTGGAAATAATGCTAAATAATATCAGATTGTCAAAGTCAAATAAATATAGAGACAAACATCTGAAATTAAAATGTTTTATTTGAGATACAAGTATTACAATTTCACACATACATGCAGAATGGGTGTCTTTAGTATGTCCAAAACATAAAGAGAAAGTTAGAGGTTTTATAAAAAAGGGAGACAGAGAGAAAAACAGTATGTATTTCTCTTTGAGAAAGTTCACTGGCACCAGTAAGGTTTTTGAGAGCTGGCAGGCTCTGATAGGTGAGGGACAGTGGTGGGTAAAGCTAGTCTTAGTGTTCAAGAGGTTGTTTCAGTAACCATTTGATAAAACTGGTTTCAGCTTAAAGCAGGTAATTTCAGCAGCCAGGCATGCAGAGAATTACGCTTTTGGAGTGGTGTTTTTGCCCTGAATGCCTCCTCCCCCTGGCTCGTTGATGGTTTTATTTGGTGTGATAAGAATGACCCAATTCATATGATCAATTTTTACATTTAACCCTTTCCATCAAGATCTTTCTCTTAAAGCATCAACCATGTTTATAGTTGTACAATGACTACAAGTTAGGTTTAATCATCCCTTAGTGCTAGGATGGACCTGTCCCAGTTGCTCCGTCCCACATCTGGGAAAGGTATGGAGGTCTACATCAGGTCTATGTCAAGATTTATGGCTTAAAATGTCTATCCAAGGAAAAAATAAAACTGACCAGTAATCCCAGGAGAGAAACATACCTTGGCAAATTCGAAGATATTTCTAATTTTATTTAACAATTTTAAAATTAATTAATGTATCAAAGATTCACCTAACTCATGTCAAATAAAATATGTTTGCACTAATTAATATATATTTTATATGAACATTCCTTTATTTAAACCATCCTTTTTTCCTAGAACGATGGATTAGGGGCTTTCAATGTGCCTCAGCCACTTGGAAGTAGAAAAATAAGCATAAAGATAAACTTTGTGAGCTTCAATTCAAGAAGAAAAATAGGAATTCACAGGAATAGAGAAGAACACTCCAGACCCTGTGGACGGGGAGGTGGGAAAGCAGACTCTGTGATAGCATTTGGTTCATAGAAGGGAGTGAAACTCCAGTACGAGAGAAGAGCAGCCAGTCTCCCTCTGCAACTCACCTTTTCACTGGGGATTTGTGCAATCCAGATTAAGGGAGAACACTCTGTTTCTCCCAAGCCTTGGAGCTAGCAAAAAAGTGGCTGAGAGATGGGGAAAGAGGAAAGACACTCAGAAAAGCTGCAGGCATTTACCCAGACCTGGGACTGAGAGAAGGATGCCCTTTTTAATCTGGGCTCATACAAAGTCAATCATTTTTTGGTGCCTGGCAATGGTGGCCACTGCAGACACTTTAATCTTGGGCTAGGAATTGGAGTGCTTGCTCTGGAGCAGGGGAGCAGCCTCAACAGCCAGAATTGAGTGTTGAGTGTGGAAAGTGCTCCAGCAGTAAGTGTTGGAATTAGGCTCTTTCCTCTTGCAGGACTGTAGTGGGAAGAGAGTTGCTAAAGCAGAGGTTTCTCAAGGATGGTGAGACTTGCAGCCAAGAACAGCTTTGCAACCTGGAACTGGTCTGTGTGTGTCATTGCTGGGTGTCTCAGCCTGCTCCCTTGGTCAGTTGAGAGAGTACTCCATCAGTTCCAAGAAACAAGAGGGAGGTGAACCCCATTCCCCAGGAGACCTAAACTTTGGTGAGGACCAGCCCTAAGGGAAGGAGGAATACAGCTTGCCAAAGCCACCCCTTGGGTCAAAGGAAACACGATCACGATATCAGCTGCTGAAAGGGGCACACCAAAGCCTAGGAACAGATTTAGAGAGGTGGTCATCTCTTGCCCTCTGTCCCTTTCCTAGTGCACTGCTGCAGATCCAGCAGTGGTCATCCTGTTGGGACCCAAGGAACGTGGGCTGAAAGAGGCTGCTTCTTAGGTTTCTCCAGCAGCTCTGCCCCTGCTGAAGACTAGTACCCACTGGGACAGGGCGCTTTTGGCACTTTGTCACTTCTGCACCTGTCGAGGACAAGTACACAGAGGAGAAGACCCTGCAGCCAGCTGTTACTCTTAAGCACTGTCTACTGGACTGAAGCCTGAATTACACCACCAAACAAAAATACATCACCACACCAAGCCACCACAGGAGCCTATCTGCAACCAAGGAACTTGTACAGAGCCTTGGTCCTCTGAAAGTACCCAGAAATGAAGCAAAATGATCCTATACAACATACACCACAGTCATACCCTTAAGAGAAAGAAAGAATGAAAAATTTAAAAAAAAACTCCTTCCAAATGATAGCAAATTCAACAAAGGAAGCATCAAGTCTCTCAGATGAGAAGAAACCATCACAAGAACTCTGGCAATACAAAAAGCCAGAATGTTCCATCACCTCCAAAGGATTACACCAGCAATCTAGCAATGCGTCCTAACCAGAATGCAACGTCTGAAATGACAGGTATAGTACTCAAGATATAAGTGGCAAAAAAAATCACCAAAAGCCAACAGAAAGTTGAAATCCAGCAACAACCCCATAACAACGATCCTGGATTTGAATGACAACATAGCCATATTGAGAAAGAACCAAGCAGAGCTTCTTGCATTGAAAAATTTACTATAGGAATTTCAAAAAACAGTTCACAGCCTTAGCAACAGACTAGACCAAATAGAAGAAATAATTTAAGAGCTCAAAGACCAGACCTTTGAATCAACCCAGTCAGACAAAAATAAAAAAAGAATTTAAAAATAATGAACCAAACTTTTGAGAAATGTAGGATTATGTAAAGGAACAAAATCTATGACTTATTGGAATTTTTTTTTTTTGAGACAGAATCTTACTCTGTTACCCAGTCTGTAGTGCAGTGGCATGATCTTGGCTCACTGAAACCTCCACCTCCTGGGTTCAAGCAATTCTCGTGCCTCAGCCTCCCAAGTATCTGAGATTACAGGCGTGTGCCAGCATGCCTCGCTAATTTTTGTATTTTTAGTAAAGATGGGGTTTCGCCATGCTGGCCAGTTAGATCTCAAACTTCTGGCCTCGGGTGATCCTCCCACCTTGGCCTCCCAAAGTGCTGGGATTACTGGCATGAGCCACTGTGCCCAGCTGACTTACTGGCATTTCTAACAGAGAAGAAGAGAAAGTGAGCAACTTGGAAAACGTTTTTGAGGATATAATTGAGGAAACTGTCCTCAATCTTGCTAAAGAGGTCCACATGCTGATACAAGAAATCCAGAGAACTCCCGCGAGACTGAAGGTAGGCAGTGAAGCAAATGCTTGCATTCTTGTGTGGCTCTGATTAGCATCAGGATATCTACATTTTACATAGGAAAGGAGGGAGCAGAGGAAACAGTTATGCGTTCATCTCACATTCAGTAAATCTCCATTTTACATAAGATAAAGTAAGCATGTGAATAGAGGGAGTGGAGTAGAGGAAAACTCAATGATTCATTCATCTCAGGATAGGCAGAGGGATGATTTCTGGTCCTGACCTTGTCCCAGAACTATGAAAATAAGCTGGTAATTGAGATTGTCAGGGTGAAATTGAGCCGACCCACTTTTAGGGATAGTTTAAGGTGGGATGTGCATTCTGAAAGATTTAGGGGTTCACAGCAAATTGTGAGGGAGGACATCTGAGGAGACATGCGGCCTTCTGTCACTGTGTGAACCTGGCTTATGGATGAGGCTATGACACAGGGTTGTGAAGTTATAGCTATGTGTTTGAGAACAAGGAAGGCAGTATTGCGTAACTCAGTTCCCAAGCTTAATTTTCCCTTTGACACAGTGAGCTTGGGGTTGGGGTCTCTATTCTCTTTTCTCTCACAAAATCATATGGGAACATTCCAGAAAATGTGAGGTTCTGTGCTCACTATTAAATAAAAATGACCAGGAGAGCCATGGGTAAGCTCCCTCCTCAGTCATCAGGACCCCAACAGAGAGTTTTCCCCTGTGTGGACAGGGTCCTGAATTCTGCAGGATCCCGTGGGGACACAAGTGTCAGGATAGAGGCACTCATTCAGCCAGGTACAGTGTCTCACGCCTGTAATGTCAGCTACACTGGAGGCTGAGGTCACCTTGAGGCCAGGATTTCAAGACCAGCCTGGGCAACATAGCAAGATCCCATAACTAAGAATAAAATTAGCCGGGTGTGGTGGCATGCACCTGTAATCCTAGTTAATTGGGAGGGAGGCTGAGGTAAGAGGATTGCTTGAGCCTAGGCGTTGGAGGCTACAACGAGCTAGGATTACACCACTGCACTCCAGTCTCGGCAACAGTAAGACTCCATATGTGACAACAACCAACCTATTCTGTGTTTTGAGCGTAAATTACCATAGCCTTTGTAACAGAAATGAGGCAGCAACTCTTATCATTCAAAATGCATAAGAAATTTGGCTAAGCAATTGTACTTCTAGATTATTTATTTATTTATTTATTATTGGGACAGAGTCTCACTCTGTCCCGCAGACTGGAGTACAGTGACAGGATCTCAGCTCACTGCAACCTCTGCCTCGTGGGTTCAGGCAATTGTCCTACCTCAGCCTCCCGAGTAGCTGGGGCTACAAGTGCGCATCACCATACCCAGCTAATTTTTGTATTTTTTGTAGAAACGGGGTTTTGCCATGTTGGCCAGGCTGGTCTCAAAACTTCTGACCTCAGGTGATCCACCCACCTCGACCTCCCAAAGTGCTGGGATTACAGGCACTAGGTCCCTAATTTAGAGCCATATTGTTTAATGTCTAAAAGCACTCTTGCATATTTATTACTGCATTGTTTGAACTTAAATATCCACAACAGGATAACAGGATAATTAAACAGTTAATTGCACTATGGCACATCCATCTGTTAACAAAATGAAGTCGATCTTTTTGTACTGTGGTGGAAAGATTTTCTGAACATAGTTCAGGTAAAAAAATGACCACTGTTGAATAATGCTTCTGGTATAACACAAAGTGTTTGAAAATGTACACAATACACTGTAATATCCAATGCATACATCAAAGTAAATATATTTTATTCTAGGATAATTATTAAAACATTAAGAAATACTCTTTAATCATATATGTTAAAACTTGTAGAAAATCAATAACATACAAGTAAAGAAGATCAAGAAGCCAAAAAAAGTAATTCCAAGTGTAGAAAGCATGGTGAAAAGTGATGGAAGAAAACTGCAGAAATTTAAAATGTGAAATTAAAATATATAATTATTAATTAAAATACATAATTCTTAATTAAAATACATAATTCTTCATTGAACCCCAAATCTGTCAGGACATATGTGTGATCTTGGATAACGCATTCAACCTCCTGAACACTGAATTTTCTTGACTGTAAAATGTTTTAGAGATGTTCCTCACCCGGTTGCATGAAGCAAACCTCTGTGTGTTAAGGCACTTCCCACAGCATCTGCGACACAGAACAGTGGCAGCTGTGCTCTTCATAGTCCCTGAACACAGACCCACAGCAGTATATTGTGTGGTTTTTTTTATATAAAAGGCTTTGAAAATGTCCCACAGCTTCCTCAGTAACTGACTGTCAAAAGGGGCAGCCTTCAAAAGTAGAATTCTGGCAAATGTCTTCAAAAGACACAAAATTCTGGCAATGGGCACATTTCCCTCCCCCCTTGCTCTTCTGGATGCATCCATTCTCTCCCACAGCATAGTCATTTTCTTCCACTCCACTGTAGAAATTTTCCTTCTAGTGGCAAGAGTGACGTGAGTGATATGTGGAAATTTCTTTCCAAGCGTGTTGGAGAAGCTTCCTCTGCCTGCTTCTTTTTGGCCACCTCCTGCCAGGGTAAGAGCAGAGGGCCTCCAGGGCTGCTCTGTCACCCCCAACAGCATGGACCTCACTGCAGTCACTCCGGAAGCTTCCCTCTAAAGGAAGCTTGTGCAGGAAACATCATGCATCGAGCAGCATGGGGACAGGGGCTGGCCAGCTGGGCAGGTCTCACACTCCTGACACTCAGACTCCAGGATACTCCTCTGTCCCCACCCAGGGCAGATGCCTGCCCTAAAAGTTTTCCCCTCATGTCCAGCAAATGCTGCATGGAGCCCTGGATTTCTACGTGGAAAACTAGGAGGAGGGAGAGCTGAAATGAGGATGTAATCACCCTTTCCAAAGAGGTCAGTCCAGTACTACCCTGTGCTCCTGGGCAAGCTCTCCAGGTTGAGGGAACAGGAGCAGGGGTTATGTCAGGTGAAGGTTGAAGTGAGAGACCTCCCAGGAGGTGTAGAATATTCCACTAGGGACATCTCATACCCTTCCAGGATTAGACCTTGAGGCCTGGAGATCCCCAGGCAATTAGTATTGAAGGTCGAAAGGCCAATGACAGGAATAGGAAGGCCCACTGTGTCATTCACAAAGCACTTCCAAACCCATCACCACAGGTGGCCCTCACAACAACCCTGTGAGACCTGCAGGACAGGGGCTCTCACAAAGGAGGAGTCGGGAATGTCAAGATTTTAACACCTTCTCCAAGTCAGGATCAGGAAATGCTGTTCCAGCACTGACCTATATTCCCTATGCTTCCTCCCACAAAACAGCTTAGGGTGACTGCCAACTTGTGGGCAGAGACCCTCACTTCCAATCCCCACAAGGGGCTGTGCAGTGGGGAGGACGAGGCCCCCTCCTCTGACTGTCTCCTCCAAGACCCTGTTTTCTGAGGAAGGTCACTCTGGGAACTGTTGGCCTCTGCAGATGGGGACCTGGACCATGTGGAAAGATGATGTGAAGGTCACACCTGGCAGGCACCAGCGCTGGAGGGCAAACCTCACCTTTAAAACTCACACTTTTTTAAAAAATTTATTTTTATTTTTAATTTATATGAGTACATGGTAGGTGTATATATTTATGGGGTACATGAGATAGTTTGACACAGGCATGCAATGTGTAATAATCACATCAGGGTAAATGGGGCATTCATCACCTCAAGCAAGGGAAATGCCAGCTGCTTATAAAACCATCAGATCACATGAGAACTCACTTACTATCATGAGAACAGCATGGGGAAACTGCCGCCATGATTCAGTTACCTCTCACTGGGTCCCTCCCAGGACACATGAGGATTATGGAAATTACAGTTCAAGATGAGATTTGGGTGGCAACGCAGCCAAACCATATCACCTTATAAAATTAATAATGTGGAAATAGCAGTGGGCCTGAGTCCTGACACCTGCAGTGTGATGCCCCCTCTTGAGGAGGGCCTGGCTTCTGTGCCATGCAGAAACTTTCCTGTGCTTCCTGCTGGCTTGGGGTGAGCCAGGTCCTCCTGGGGGAGCTGGGCACTTGTGGGACAGGAGAGTCCCTGGCCTGGGGTCTCCATTTGCCTCCTTACCCCATCAGCAAAACACCAGAGGAGCCAACTCAACAAACCTCAATGCACGGCACTTCCTGGACCCTAGGTGCTCAGGGCCCCCTGAGCTGCCCTGGGGCAGAACACTGGGCAGTGGCCAGTGCTTTCCCAACAACTCCCCCATGCACAGATGCCTGGTGGACACACTTCCCTTAACCCTGCTCAGCTGGAGCTCAGCCCCCATCCTAGTACCTCTGCCTCCTCCTCCAGGGCAGGAAAAGGAAACCCAACTCCAAACCCATGGAGAATCCTCATCTTGGGTGAGGCCCTGGCTGGGACTCAGCCCCTTGTCAGGCCCTCGAGGAGCTCCATCTTCCCTTGTTTCCCTGCCCCATGGGACCCTGGGCCTCTGGGAAAGAGTTGAGGGTGTCATCCACTCAGCAGGTACCGCATGATCTTTGGGAAGGATTTGTGTTATACCTACTCCTGGTGGGATAGGAGCCTCCGGAGCTGGGCAGTATTTGGGCTGTAGAAACCTGAGAAGCCCCTGACCCATCATGCATCAGAGCCCACTCCCAAGATGTGGAGCCATCAGCTGGAAGAGCTGGGCAGTGGCAGGGGACCCCGGACCCTGAGGCCTTCCTCCCTTCCATCAGGTGACCCTACCATGTGGTCTCAGCTCTAGGGAGATGGGCCCTAGCTGGAGGCACTGCACAGCAGCATCCTGGGTAAAGGTGCCAGGAGGGCAGGCCTGCCTTTGAGGCTGTGAGGCAGGGCTGGGGCAGGCAGTGGCTAGTGGAGGGAACCGGGTGGGTGCTGAAGGACTACATGGCCATCTCCTGGACATGGGGTCTGGCTAGGGGACATGGGATGGGCAGACACTGCCATCTTGACTTCATTGGCCCATCTGTGGGCTAGGGGGGCAGCTGGGAGTGTGGCCAGCTGGGAGGTAGGAGGACTCTTGGGGAAGTGAGAGTCACCTGCATGAACTCAGGGCTAGAGGGCTGTGGCTCTGGGACACACAGGGTGGCCAGGGGGAGGCTGCAGCGCCCTCTGCTGTTGGGAATGAAAGGTGTCCGCCTTGAAGTGAAAGGGTCCCTGTTCAGCTATGGGCCCCTCTGGGACCCCCAGCAGGGATGTCCTGAAGGCTCCTAACAAGCTGGAAAGCAAGGAAACTGCCTTGCCTGGAAGTCAGGATCGCCCAGCCAGGGTGGCCGTCCCATGGCCCGGCTGTGTGAGGCCCTGGGGGTAGCTGTCCACCTACCCTGCAGGGAGTGCCTCTCCTCAGCCATCCGCTGATCCAGTGCCCAGAAGTTGTCTTCCTCTGGCAGATACAGGAGGAGGATGGCAGTTAGGCAGCTCATGTCCCTGTAGTAGCCCACCTCCTGCAAGAGCCAGAGTCACCATGGAAGCATGTCACCTGAGAGGGCTGAGGCCATCTGGGAGGACTCATGTCACTGGAGAGGACAGAGGTCACCTGGGAGACCTCCCTCAGGCCCCAGGGGATTTAGGGTGCAGACTCTGCACCCCTCCCCTGACCCTGGGCATGAGGACTAAGCAAGTCCCCCACAACTCAGTTGAAAAGGGACCTGGAGGGACTTCTGCAGTGAGTGTCCAACCTCACATGGTCTGAAGGGGCACAGGCAAGGATCATTCACATCCCCTATCCTGGGCCAGGCTGGGAAGGCCAGTGTGCCAGGACCGGGGCAGCACCTGTGAACTGCACCCACCACAAGGGCAGGTGGTGGGCCACTGATCACCACACAGTGGGTCCTCTGATGGCCCAGAGGCTGCCTGCCAGGCACAGGAGGGCGGCTGCGTCCAGACCACATGTGAGCAGCCCATGGAGTGATCTCAGCGGCTCTCCCTGCCTGGAATGGTCTGGGAAGTGGGGGCCAAGCAGGAACAGCCACCTGGGTGACCTCCTCCCTGTCTACTGTGCTCCTACGGGGTTAAGGCAAAGGGGAAATTGGACCCCTGCCAGGTTTCCAATAAAAAGGCTTCCTCACGATGCAAACTCATTTCATGAAAAAAAGCCTGGCCCCATCAGGCACCTCAGCAACTTGTCAAACGTGTCTCCTGCAAGGACTGTCCTGTGTGCAACACTGCTAAGCTCCTTGTTTGGGGTGGCACCAGGAGGGGAGTGTCATTTCTTCTTCTGAGACATGGTGGTTGGGTCCAGGCGACATCAACAGTCTGGGCCCTGAACCCTTTCCATCTCAGCGGGACCCCTTGAGACACCAGCTTCCCTTCCTTGCTTGGGTGTCGACGCCAGCAGTTCTACCTACTACGTTATTACAGTCAGATCAGGATAAATGTCCTCTCTCTGGAATAAATGCAGTGACCACTGTTCTTTGAGCATTATTTATCTTAAATTATTGTTTTAATTAGAAATGTATCTAACTTACATTAGCCAAATTTCCTTTCAATGTAACCAAATTTATTTTAAGTGAAAATTAAATATATTTACCTTCATCAAGCATTCTATGAATATAAAATGTTTATTTTTTTCAACTTTAGAAGAAATTGAAAATGTCTACGTGCTACTAATCTAAAAAACAGGCTCTGGGTTTATATGGTGTTAACCTTTCTTCCAAATTTTAAGGAATAGATATTTAAATGCCATCCACTTTGTTTGAAAATACATAAAATGTTTTAAGCTTTTGACCTCAAAATTTACAATAGCACAGCTACTCCATAATGAATAAACCACAGAATCAAAACGAAGAAAGATTCTACAGACCAGTCTAACTAACAATACAATTATAAACTAGTGGTTCAAATATCAAAAACCAATTTCAATGACAAATGCATGGTATGAAAACCCCGCAAATGTCAAGTAGAATATATTATACTTCTTATTGAATGAAATTATGAGTTGAGAGTAGGAAATCTATGTTTAACCAAGCAAATTAAATAAAGTTTATGAGGAAATTATACTGCTAATGTTTTATTATTTGGCAATCTATTCAGTGGAACACAAAGATATTCTTAATGAAGTCGAAAATATATTTTAAAATGTGACTGAAGTGGATTAAAAAATAATGAGGACATGAATAATTTTAAAAAGTATTCAGGGATAAAGAGAGAAAAATAAATTTAGATTTCATACATACATAAAATATATTTAAAAAGTTGTGTTTTTTGGTTGTTTGAATAAAGGGAGCAGATATTTAAATTCCATGCCTTTCATTTTAAAGTTTAGGAAATGCTTATAGCTTTCCACACTGACATTTATACTAACACAGTTAATCTAATCGAGGGATAACAAAATCAAAACAAGCAGAATTCTCTTGACCAATCTATTTTCTTGATTTTTAAAAGTTAATGTACTCTCAAAGAAACAAAACTATTATTCATGGATTCTGTTATTTGAAAATATTTACTGATCATTTTTACCTTACACCAAGTGATCTCCAGCTCGTGGAAAAATATGTAAAGTTGCCCAGCTTCATTAAGCTTAAACTCTTCTGAAGGAGAAAAGCAGCAATGGAGTAGGGACATTAAAGCAGGAGTGTGGTGATATGGCTGAGACTTCTACTTGCACACTGTGGTAGCTGTGTGGAGACTGGATTTAAAAAAGGGCAATGACAGAAGCTTAAATTAGTATCAAATATGGTAATCCTATAATTTTAAGGGTCCTTGAAATAAGAATGTATAATAGTTCTCATTATTTCCCCAAGAAATCTCTGCACTTGGCCTTGTGAGGGAAGCGCTATAGTTACCAAGTGGTGGGGGTGGGAATGTGAATTTGGAAACAACATTTGGAATTATTACACTTTAAAGGTAAAGCTGGCAGGAATTCCATACACATCAGATCTGAAAATGTGTGTGTGTGTGTGTGTGTGTCTGTCTGTGTTTGTGTGTGTGTGAAGCAGGGAGAGAGAGCAAGAGTGAGAGTGAGCAAGAGAGAGAGGAGAGAGAGGGAGAGAATCAGACAGATACAGGAAGAGAGTGACAGAGCTACAGAGACAGAATTAAAAGGGGACACCAAGAATATTGAGCTGAGAAACTATAAAATGGGAGTTGCCATTAAACAGAATGGGGAAGAGCAAATTTGGGGAGTTTCAGTGGCTCCATACAGACATATTAATTTTGAGATTCCTAACTGACATCCACGTGGATAAGTCAGGGAGTGTTGGGTGTAGTGTCCAGTGTTTAGGTGTAATATGAAATATCAGGAAATTAATGACACAAAAATTAGTAAGAAAGCAAAGATAAGAAAGATAAGAAGTGAAATTCCTGAGCCTAATGGTCCTCTAACATTTGAAAAATAGTAAAGATGAAACCTGCAAAAAAGGACTAGGGGTAATTTTCAAAAACGTGGTGGGGGGAAAGTAAGTTAAGTGTTCTGGAATTCTATAAAAAAGTTTTACAAAGAGAAGGTGGAGATAGACTGTGTGAAATGCTGCTGATATATAAATTAAGATGAAGGCTGAGAAGTTATGGTTCAATTTATAATTTAACAATATGGATAGCACTTATATTTTGATATGAGCAGCTCGTTGGAATGAGTAGGTGAGAAACCATATTGGAGTGGTTGCTGAGATGAAAGTCTGATCCCTGGATTCTTAAGGAAAAATTTTATTGGACTGCAGAGGCATAAATTGGATTTTTAATTCTGGAGTCAGGATGTGCTCAGTAAACATGTGCCCATCAATGCCTCCTCGCATTTTTTTTTAGCTAGGTATTCTGTTATCTTTTAATAATATAATAATTACCTGCAAAACCTACACCCATGTTGCAGCAAACCACCATGACACATGTATACCTGTGTAACAAAACTGCATGTTCTGCACATTTATCCCAGAACTTAAAGTAGAGAGAGAGAGAGAGAGAGAGAGAAAACCAGCCAAGTGCGGTGGCTCATGACTGTAATCCCAGCGCTTTAGGAGGCTGAGACAGGTGGACCATCTGAGGTCAGGATTGAGAACAGCTTGGCCAATATGGTGAAACCCTGTCTTTACTAAACATATAAAAATTAGCTGGGTGTGTTGGGGGGCACCTGTAGTCCCAGTTACTTGAGAGGCCAAGGCAGGAGAATCACTTGAACCTGGAAGGCAAAGACTGCAGTGAGCTAAGATCACGCAGCAGCACTACAGCCTGGGTGACAGGGTGAGACGGTCTCAAAAAGAAAAACAAAAACAAAAAAACACCCATTTAATTGACAAACTTTACAAAGACTGATACTAGAGGTTGTTGGAGAGGACGTTGTTCCACATATCTTATGAGTTACCGATGGACAAGTAAGATGGTAAAATGCCTTTGAAAAACTGACCATACCTGCTATACTTAAATATTCAGATACCAAACACCCAGAAATTCCATCTTGTCATTTATTTCCACAAGAAAAAACAAGAGACCTGTATTAAAATATCCATTTCTATTAAAAATAATCACACTAGGTTTCCTGAAATTTTTTTATTGGTAGCTCTTGTTTTCAGCAGTACAACTTCTAACATATATGTGTATACATATTTAATATATGTATATATGTATATATATTTAATATATGTATATATGTATATATATTTAATATATGTATATATGTATATATATTTAATATATGTATATATGTATATATATTAGACAGATATATATGTATATTATACATATGCATATATTATATATTATGTATGTATGTATATAATACATATGCATATATTATATATTATGTATATATGTATATAATACATATGCATATATTATATATTACGTATATATGTATACACACATATGTATATATGTTATATATACACACATATGTATATATGTTATATATACACACATATGTATATGTTATATATACACACATATGTATATAGGTTATATATACACACATATGTATATAGGTTATATATACACACATATGTATATAGGTTATATATACACACATATGTATATAGGTTATATATACACACATATGTATATAGGTTATATATACACACATATGTATATAGGTTATATATACACACATATGTATATAGGTTATATATACACACATATGTATATAGGTTATATATACACACATATGTATATAGGTTATATATACACACATATGTATATAGGTTATATATACACATATGTATATATATACACACATATGTATATATGTATCTATGCATAATATATGTATATGTATTAGGCAGAGTTTTGCTCTTGTTGCCCAGGCTGGAGTGCAATGGTGCAATCTCGGCTCACTGCCACCTCCACCTCCCGGGTTCAAGCGATTGTCCTGCCTCTGCCTCCCGAGTAGCTGGGACTACAGGCTTGTGCCACCACCCTCGGCTAATTTTGTATTTTTAGTAGAGATGGGGTTTCACCATGTTGGTCAGGCTGGTCTCGAACTCCTGACCTCAGGTGATCCACCTACCTTGGACTCCCAAAGTGCTGGGATTACAGGTGTGAGCCACTGTGCCCGGCCTATTTTGTATTTTTTAATCTACCACACTCTAAGAACACATATTTTAAATCAATTTGTACATTCAGTGCCTAGAACAAAACCAGCATTTTGTAGATTCCAAAGAATTAATTGTTGTATAAATGATGAATAACTTAAATAAGTTATTATTTATAACATCTATATACAAACAATATATTACCTGAGAATACAGTGATAACATTTGTTATGTATAAAATGATTTCAATCTCAGTTAAAAATATTTTTTTGCATAAGTTATTGTCATATGCAGATGCTCACATTGTTTTGTTTAGATGAAAATGTTTGTAACTACTATGCACATTTTTGTTACTTAAGCCTTTTGGTCTTGCTGCCGTAGCAAATCCTGTGCCTCTTAAGAACATGAACCTGTTTTACTTCATTTTTTAGCAGATTTCTTAATGAAATATATACCATACTATTTTGTTTAACACATAAGCAGACACCCTGTCAGAAGCAAAGAGACATCTACTCCACCATTACCACCCATGCCTCTGCTAATGTGGCTGCTGAAGATGTTACCTAGAGCAGAGGACTTTGTGTTCAACCTAAGCACTTTATATCCTTTATTTTCAATTGGGTAGGAGATAAAATAATTCAGCAGCAATAAAAGTCACACTTCTTAAAGTTGCAGTCTCGCCAATGCACCACAACGTAGCAGTCTCTCTTGTGAGGTATCACCTGGCGTTCTTCATCTCACCACCAAGATGATTAAGGGACGGGGACACACAAGTGAGGTGGGAGTGAAAGTTTAACAAGCAAAAGGAGGAAGCTCTCTGCAGCAGACAAGGGCGTCCAAGTGGATTGCCGTTTTTACAGTTGAATCAAAAAGCTTTTATAAGAAACTCCTCTCAGCTATATATAAAACTGTCGGCACAATTCCCTTTATATATCCAGCTGTGGGTATGTCTCTAGTCAAGCACAAAGTGGGCTTCTCTTGTTTCTGTAACTGTGGGTTTGTTTTAGGTAAGCCCCCCTCCTCCCTGCGCAAGTTCCCACAGAGACCGCCAAGTATATGCCTGAAAAAGGGAGGAAAATTTTACCTGGGAGCTTGCCAAATACACAAAGAACAGAAGGCATCTGTGCTGGACCCTGCATGCTTATCTGTTCAGGGCTTATCTGTAGGTGCAGTAGTTGTGATTTTTCAGGCAGACAGCTTCCCTGAGGACCAGTCTCTTACTTGTTTACTCAAATAATTTTCCTTTCCTTCTCCCTCAACATTGTGTAGCAAAACAGAGTACACTTCTCTTTCCCAGTAAATCAGTGTTGGTACTCCACTCTGAATACTTGTATTATTGGATTTCTTAGGAAAAAAATATTTGGGATCATAATTTAGATGCCATCAATGAACAAAAATATGCTACTTCGTTTCCCTTCTCTTCTCTTGTTACCAGACAATAGCTAGTTTTCTTTTCTCTCCAACTCCTTTTTTCTGTGCTTCTACCTGATTTTTTAAAAAAACTTCTACACATTTCCAATCTTAGTATAGCAGACATCAAATATGTGGTCAAACTACATACATAAGAAGAGTTGAATTATATAATTATATTCAAGCATTTTAAAATAATTCCCCTTCAGTTTGTTTTGCAGTTATTTTACATAATCAAATGTCTTCCTGATATACGTCCCAACCCAGTGGTTGTCAAGCTCTGCTTTGTTTTCTAATTGCATCAGAATTATCCACAATTCTTTTTTTTTTTTTTTTTTTTTTTTTGAGATGGAGTCTTACTGTTGCCCAGGCTGGAGTGCAGTGGTGTGATCTCAGCTCACTGTCATCTCTGCCTCCCTGATTCAAGTGATTCTCCTGCCTCAGCCTCCCAAGTAGCTGGGACTACAGGCATGTACCACCATGCCTGGCTAATTTTTGTATTTTTAGTAGAGATGAGGTTTCACCATGTTGGCCAGGCTGGTTTTGAATTCCTGACCTCAAGTGATCCACTGCCTGGGCCTCTCAAAGTAAGAATTATCCAAAATTCTTATGATAAATATGGATAAATCAGCACAACTCAAGATTTAATAAAAAATTCCAAGAGAAGAAACCCAGGAATATGCATTGAAAACGTCTCCCTGAGGTGATTCTGATGTGATATGTGGTCTGAGTTTAAAATGCAAGGAAAATTACCTTCCCTGCCCTCCAGTTGGCCCTTATGTCCAGATGTCCCTCTTCCCCTTTCTCACTGTGCTCTCTCCTTCTGTGCCTTTGTTCTATTCTCCCTCCACTTCTCATCCAGATGCCAAGCCCTCTTCCATCAATTGTCCTAAAACTCCAAATGGTCAGTTGCCTCTATACTTCCCTCTGTCCCATGAACAAGTTACCCAGGCAAACGTAGAATTTCGGCTTGGACCAAGCTGAATCAAGAGCTGCAATTAAAGATTTCCCTAAGCCCAGAGGGGACCAGCAAATACTTACAGAAGATTTTGGATTTCCTCCGAATGCATAAGGCTCTGGGTAACCTGATGCTATAGACCAAATGTTATTGTCCCTCTCAAATTCAAGTGTTGAAATCTAATTCCCTATGTGATGATATTTGGAGGTAGGGCCTTGGGGAATGATTAGATCATGAAGGCAGGGACCACAAGAGTGGGATTAGTAGCCCCTATTGAAGGCACCATAGAGAGCTCCCTCATCTCTTCTGTCATGTGAGGACATGGTAGAAACATGGCTATGAACCACAAAGCAAGCCCACACCAGACACAGAATCTGCTAACCACTTGACCTTGAATTTTGCCATCTCCAGAACTGAGAGAAACAAATTTGTTTATAAGCTTCCTCATCTATGGCATTCTGTTTTGACCCCAGATTAGCTAAAAACACCAAAATATCAACTTGTACACCAAATTTTCGAAATGGATGCTAAAACTTTGATGGCAAAAGGTGACTGATCTGCCTGAGAATTGAACCTACATGATCCCTCTTTCCACAAAGCTGGAGGGAGAGTCAACACAAGCAAAAATAGGTCAAAGTCTTCTAAAAGCCATACCTGAAGGGTTTTCAATATCACTTGATCAGATGGTAATTTAGTCACCCAAAGAACCACAACAAAACACACAACTATCAGAGGTTTTCAACGTCACCTCAAAACCACCATCTACAATATTAGGGAGTGAAAGAAGTCATAGAAGTTTCAAAAAGTCAAACTTTATTTCAGTGTTATGGTAGAAATTTGAAATTCTTAGTTAAGCTATGAATAAATCCTTGGGCAGGTGCAGGCATGGAGATTCTGGAGTGCTGCTGCTGAGTTTAAGAGCTTCCTTTGGAGATGCCCCCTGGCCCCCTCAACCCCTGTCCACCTGTCAAGAAGAGGCCATCCTGGGCAGCACATTAGAGGCAAATGGCCCAGATGCCCAGCTGAGGGCAAACCTCCATTCCTGGAGGAGGAGGTCACCTCTGGGAGCCGGAGGACCTGCTGGAACCCCTGCTCACAGGCTCCTTTTCTTGCTCTCCAGCACCTCCTGCAGGCAGGCAAACACCCCCAGCAGCAGTAGCAGCAGGGCCTTCAGCAGCAGGGCTGCTGCTCTGCTGAATGAGAGAAGTCCCTCTCCAGTGAGGCAGAGGAGCCCAGGTTGCACACCCTGGTCTCTGCCTCCATAGCTTCCACTGTGCCCAGGACTGGGAGCAGTGTGGGAGCTGCTGGCTGGAGCTGTGCTGGTCACCCCCTCTCTGCCACCTCTAGCTCCAGCCACACTTTCAGCTCCAGGGCTGAGGCCGGTGGCTCTACAGGAGGTGCCATGAAGTCAGGCAGCTTCTCACTGGGCTGGTCCTGTGCAGTCCCAGGGCAGCGGCAGGAAGGCTCTGGAGGTTCCTCTAGCTCCAGCGCTGTCCCTGGAAGGGGCTCTGCCCCTGGTGCTGGCACTGGCTCAACAGCTGGCACTGGAAATAGCTGTGTTTCTGCACCTGAAGCAGGAGCTGAAAAAGGAGAGAGGTCACCAATATCACTCACTTTCCACTGGAATTTCCAAACATGAAAACAACCTCACTGAATTTAAAGGAATTTCAGCCTGAAAACATTGTCCCTGGAAAGACTTCCAGACTGCAGGTGACCTCACCATGTGCCTGTGTCTCAATGAGCTCCAGAGGCTCCAGCTGGACAAGGACAATGTGCAGATGTGGCCCTGGTGGGATCACTGGTGAGGCCTGGCCTGGTAGCTCCATCTGGGGCCTGATGTCTACCTGGTGACTCCTGTCCTGTGGTACCTGGGGGGGCCTTCTGTCAAATGGCCAGAGACATCTGGGGTGAGGGATGAGCCTACAAGGGCATCGTTGGAAAAGAAAGGCTCTCACTCCTGCCATTCCTGAAGCAGGAGACTTGAGATGTGGGGATGCAGCACAAGAACATCTTGCTCTCTTGAGCATCTCCCACCAAGTGAGCTGGCTATGGGTCTAACTCTAGGATGTGGGTGCCTGGTGCCTGGTTATCGGGATTCTTTTTTTTTTTTTTTTTTTTTTTTGAGACATTGTCTCATTCTGTTGGCCAGGGTGGAGTGCAGTGGCATGATCTCGGCTCGCTGCAACTTCCGCCTATTGGGTTCAATCAATTCTCCTGCCTCAGTCTCCTGAGTAGCTGGGATTACAGGCACGAGACACGCACCACAACACCTGGCTAGTTTTTTTGTGTTTGTTTTTTGTTTGTTTGTTTGTTTTGAGACAGAGTCTCGCTCTGTCACCCAGGCTGGATGGACTGCAGTGGCGTGATCTGGGCTCACTGCAAGCTCCGTGTCCTGGGTTCATGCCTTTCTCCTGCCTCAGACTCCCGAGTAGCTGGGACTATAGGCGCCCACCACTACGCCTGGCTAATTTTTGCATTTTTAGTAGAGACGGGGTTTCACTGTGTTAGCCAGGATGGTCTCGATCTCCTGACCTTGTTTGTTTTTTGCATTTTTAGTAGACATGTGGTTTTACCATGTTGTTCAGGCTGGTCTCGATCTCCTGGTTTCATGATCCTCCTGCCTCAGCCTCCCAAAGTGCTGGGATTACAGGTGTGAGCCACCGTGCCTGGCCTGGTTACCAGAATTCTAAGTTCTGTTAGGGTCTGTTGCCAAGGAAGTGAGGTTGCTTCTTTAAGGTTCCATCCCCTCAGCCTCCTCCTTCCAGAAGACCTACTCAGGACCCCAGTGGGCTGCTGACTGCTCATCCTCCCCACAGGTCAACTCCTTACCTGTACACAGTTATGTCCACCCAGGGCCTACTTGGACACCTGCACCTGATGTTCACCAGGGGCCTAGGAATCCACTTGGGGCCTGGGATCCTACAGGGGCCTAATGTTACCCTGCAGATTGAGTAGCCACCTGGGGACCAGATATCAACCTGGGGACTGTGGTTGACCTGTGGGTTAATGTCCACCTGGGGACTGGTTATTCAGCTGAGGCCTGATGCGTACCTGGGGCCGAATGTCCCCCTCAGGGTGAATTCCACCTCAGATCTGTATGTCCACCTGGGGCCTGATGTCTGCCTTAGATCTATGTCCCACTGGGGCCTTGTGATCACCGGGGACTGGTATCCAGCTGTGGCCTGATGACCTACTGCATCCTGTTGCTCACCTACGGCCTGGTGTCTACCTGGGGCTTGGTGATCGCCTGGGAACTGGATATCAACCTGGGGCCTGGGTGTCCACTTAAGGCCTGATGTGTGCCTGGGGCCTGACTGTCCACCTGGGGACTGGGTGTCCACCTTGGGTCTGATGACTACCTGAAGTTAGGTATCTACCTAAGGCTTGGTGTCTACCTGTGGCCTGATGTCCACATGAGTCTGGGGTTCAGTTGGGGCCTGCTGTACATCTGGGACCTTGGTGTCTATCTGAGGCCTGATGTCTACCTGGTGACTGCCATCCTCTTGAGGCCTGATATCCACCTGGGAATGGTTTATCCATGGAAATGGTTATGTCCGCCTGGGGCTGGATGTTGCCCAGGGGCTAGATGTCCACCTGTGGCCCCGTGTTCACCTAGTGCCTGATGTCCACCTGGGGCATGGTGTTCACCTGAGACCCGGGTATTTACATAGGGCCTGATGTCCAGCTGGTGCCTAGGTGCCCACTGGGGGCCTTGTGTTAACCTGGGGACTGGTATCCAGCTGAGTCCTAAAGACCACCTGGGTTGAATTATTCACCTAGAGTTTGGTATTCACTTAGGGCTTGAGTGTCAGCCTTGGACATGGTGTCCACCTGGGCCTTGGTTATCAAACAAGGGGTTTGGTATCCAGTTGAGACATCATTTGCACCTGGGGTCTGAGTGTTCGCATGAGGCCAGATGACCACTGGGGGCCTG
This sequence comes from Homo sapiens, assembly GCF_000001405.40. Taxonomy (NCBI): domain Eukaryota; kingdom Metazoa; phylum Chordata; class Mammalia; order Primates; family Hominidae; genus Homo; species Homo sapiens. Next base: position 40,119,607 of record NC_000009.12, on the reverse strand, counting down.
AATGTCAACCTGGTGTCTGAAATTCACTGGAAGACTAGGTATCTATCTAGCTGGGGCCTGATGTCCACCTGGGACTAGGTGTCAACATGTGGCCTGATGTAAACCTCTAGTTGAGTGTCCACCTTGGGCCTGATGTCCACTGGGGGACTGATGTTCCCCTTTGATCTGATGTCTACCTGGAAACCGTGTATTCACCCATGGCCTGATGGTCACCTGGGGTTGAATGTCCAACTGTGGCCAGATGTGCACCCGGATTCTGGGCATCCACCTGGGGCCTGATGTTCAGCTGGGGCCTGGAGTTCACCTGAGGCATGATGCCTACCTGAAGCTTAATGTTCATCTGAGTGCTGGATGTTCACCTGGGGCCTGATATCCACCTGGACCCTTCTCAGGCCTGATGTCCACAGGACCCTTCTCAGGCCTGATGTCCACAAGTTGGCCTGGTATTCATCTGGGGCCTTCGTGTTAACCTGTGGCCTAATGTACTCCTGGGTTCTAGTGTCCTCTTGGGACCTGATGTCTACCAGGATCCAGGTATCCACCTGGGGCTCGGTATCCACCTAGGGCTTGATATTCACCTGGGGCCTAGGAATCCACTTGATAACTGGTGCCATCGGGGTCCTGATGTTCACCTTGGGACTGGGTAACCACCTGAGGCCTGATGTCCACTTAGGGTATAAGTGTTTATCTGGGGTCTAGTGTTCACATAGGGTCTGATGTCAACCTTGAGACTAGGTATTCACCAGGGGACTAGTGTCCAGCTGGGGCCAGATGTTCGCTTGGGGCCTGGTGTCAACTTGGAGCATGGTTGTCAACCTAGGACCTGATGTCCAGTCCAGTGTCCACCTTGGGCCTGTTTACTACCCGGGGCCTGTGTGTCCACATAGACCGTGGTGTCAATCTGGGGCCTGGGTATTTACCGGGTGCCTGGATATTCATTGGTACATTATGTCTACTGGAGTCTTTGTGTCAATCTGAGCTCTGATGTCCACCTAGAGATTGGGTATCCACCTAAGGCCTGGTGTTTACATGGGGCCTGTAACACGAGGTTCCAGATGAACTCAGATGTCCACCTGAGGCCTGATGTCCACCTGAGTTCTGAGTGTTCACATAGGGCCTGCTGTCAACTTGGGACCTAAGTATTTACCTAGGGCCTGGGTGTCCACCTGGTGCCTGACTTCCAACTAGATCTTGTGTCAACATGGGGCCTGATGTCCACTTTGGGCCTAGGTAACTTCCTGATGACGAATGCCCACATGGCTCCTAAGGACCATCTGAGGCCTGGTATTAATTTAGAGACTGGTATCCACCTGGGGTCCAGGTATCCACTTGGGACCTGATGTTCACCTGGAGTGTAGGAATTCACGTGGGGCCTGGTATCCACCTTCAGGGTGTGTATCCAATTGAGTGCTGGTGTCCACCTGGAGTCCCGTGTATACCTGGGGCCTGATGTACACATGGAGCCTGGGAGTCCATCTAGGACCTGATGTTCAGATAAGGGCTGGCGTTCTCCTGGCCTGGTGTCCACATGGAGCCTGGGTGTACACTTGAAGCCTGATATCCCAGGTGGATACCTGGGCCCCAGTGGTCATCAGATCCTAGGAACCTCTCAGGCCCCAGGTGCACGTAAAGCTCCAAGTGGCCACCTAGGCCACAGGTTGATACACAGGGTCCAGGTGGACACTGGGTGCAAGATGAACACCAGGCCCCAGGTGTCTGCCTAGTCCTCAAGTGGACACCAGGCACTAGATTGACACACAGGTACCAGGTGGATATCAGGCCACAGGTGAACACCAGGCCCCAGGTGGTTGGGTTACTTATAGCATAGGTGGCCATCAGTTCCCAGGTCTATATCCACTCCCCACTTGAAAATCAGGATCCAGGTGGATACCCATGTCCTAGGTGAACACCAGGTTCCAAATGAACATCAGGCTCCAAGTGAACACACAGGCCCCAGTTCAATACCAGCCTCAGGTAGACATCAGGACCCAGGTGGACCCCAGGCCCAATGTGCATGCCTAGTCTCTTGGAATACATCATTTTCAAGGTGGACACCCAGATTCCTCAAAGACATCTGGTGCCAGGTGGATATCTGGCTGCAGGTGGACATCAGGCCCCAGGTGGAGACCCAGTACACAGGTGTAAATCAGGCTCCAGTATTTCATCAGGCCCCAGTTTAACACTTGACTAAAGGTGTGCATCAAGACCCAGGTTGACAGCCAGGCTTCAGGTGCACACTAGGCCCAAAGTGTACACCTGTGCCAAGGTGGGCATCAGGCCCAAGGTGTACACCAGACCCCAAGTGGACATCAGGTTCCAGGTTGACACCAGTCTCTAGGTAGATCCTTAAACCCCAGTTGGTCATCAGGCCCAAGGTGGATACCTTGACCCCAGGGGGTCACCAGGTCTCAGGTCGACACTAAGCCCTAGGTTCAAGGTCTGAGATGGTTTCAGCCCCCATGTGGACTTTAGTCATAAGGAGCTTACCTAGGCCCTAAGTGGACATCAGGCCCCAGGTTGACACAATGAACCATGTAGAAGTCAGGCTGTAAGTAGACACCCAGGCCCTAGGTAAATACTTTGGTCCCAAGCCAACATCAGGCCCTATGTGGACACCCAGACTCCAGGCAGATGTCAGGCCCCAGGTGAACACTGAACTCAGGGTGGTCATCAGGCCCTAGGTTGACACATAGGCCTCAGGTAGACAACAGGCACAGGTGAACTTCAGGCTCCAGATGAACGTCGGGCTCCAGGAAGAAATCTGTGCCCCAGTTAAACACCGGGTCTTAGGTAGACATCAGGCCTCAAATGGATGCCCAGGCCCCAGGTGGATATAAGGCCTCAGGCAAACACCAGGCCCCAGGTAGACATTAGACACGAGATGGACACTCAAGCCACAAGCGAACATCTGTCCCCAGGTGGACATCCACCCAAGGTGGACATCAGGCCAGAGATGTACACCCAGGCCCCAGGAGAACCCCAGGCCCCAGGAGGACACTCAAGTGCCAGAAGGACACCCAGTCCCTAGGTAACTACAAGGCCCCAAGTGGACATGATGTTCCAGATGGATATGAGGCCCCAAGTGGATACTAGGCCCAGGTGGACCCAGATCTCAGGGGCACACCAGGCCCCAGGGGAACACCAGGCCCTAGGTAAGCATGCAGTCCCAGGTGGACATCAGTTGCCAGGAGGACACCAGGACCCAGTTGCTCATCAAGCCACAGCTGAACACCAGTTCCCCATGAACACCAGTCCTCAGGTGGGCACCTAGTCCTCTTGTGTGCATCAGGTGCCAGGCTGACATAGGCACCAGCTGAACTCTGGGCCTCAGGTGAACATCAGATCCCAGGTTGTCACCCAGGCCCCAGGTGAACACCAGGTTTTAGGTGGACATGAGGTCCTAGGTGGATGTCTATGCTCCTGGTGAACCTCAGGCCCTAGTGGACACTCAGGCCCTTTATAGACATCTGGCTCCATGTGCACTCCCAGGGCCCAGGTAGACATGAGGCCCCAGAGGAACGCCAGTCCTTAATCACCTAAGACTGAATTCCCCTAGGGCTGGAGACTGAGTATTCACCTTGGGCCAAGGAATCTACCTGAGGCCAGATGTCAATCTGGGGCCTGATGTCTACTCAGGTTCAGCTGTCCACCTAGGGCAGGGTGTTTTTCTGGGACCCAGAGTCTACCTGAAATCTTGGTATCAACCTAGGGCCTATGTGTCCACTTGGAGTCTGATGTGCACCTGAAGCCTGAGTTTTCACCTGGGATCTGATGAGCACCTGGGGCCCAGGTTTCCATCTGAAACATCAGGCTCTAGTTATACATCTGGGCCCCAGGTATACACTAGGCACCAAAAGAACTCCAGCCCCTATCTTAACATGAGGTCCTAGGTGAATGCCCAGGCCTCATGTCTACATAAGGCCTCAGGTAGACATGACTCCAGGCGGGCATCAGGCCTGATATTGGCTCTATGTCTCCACCCAAATCTCATGTTGAATTGTAATCCCCACGGGTTGAAGAATGGGCCTGGTGAATGGTGATTGAATCATGGGGGCAGACTTCCCACTTGGTGTTCTCGTGATAGAGTTCTTACGAGACCTGGTTATTTGAAAGTGTGTAGCACATCCCCATTCTGTCTCCCTCCTCCTCCCACATGGTAAAAAGGGCTTGCTTCCTCTTGGCTTTACATCATGATTGTAAGTGTCCTGAGCCCGCCCAGTCATGCTCCCTATTAAGCCTGAAGAACTGTGGGTCAGTTAAACCTCTTTTCCTCATAAGTTGCCCAATATCAGGTAGTTTTTTATAACTGTGAAAATGGACTAATACAAGGCCTTAGGATAACAACCATGCTTCAGGCCATAGGTGGACATCTGGCTGCAACTGGACACTATTCCCCAGGTGGATACCTAGGCTCAAGGTTGACATTAGTCCCCAGGTAAACAACAAGCCCCAGGTGAATACCTATGCCCTAGTAGACATCAGGCCTCAGGCTGACACTCAGTCTAACCTCAACATTAGGCTCCAGGTGGACGCCCAGACTCCAGGTGGATACTAGACCCCAGAGGTACACCAGACTCCTGGTAGGCATAAGACCCCAGGAGGACACTAGAATCCAGGTGTACATAAAGCCACTGGTTGACACCAAGCCCTCAGATGAACACCAGGCCAACTAGTGGACGTTAGGCACATGAGAATACTTGGGCACCAGGTAGGTATCAGGCCCCAGGTAAACATCAAACTTCAGGTGGACATCATTCTCCATGTGAACTCTAGCCCCAGCTAAACATCAGGCTCCAGGTGGAAGCCCAGACCCCAGGAGCACTTCTGGCCACAGTTGAACATCTGTCTCCAGGTGAATATCAGACCATGGATGGATAGCAAGTCCCCAGGTGGACATCAGGTCAAAAGTGAATATAAGTCTCTAGGAAGACATCTGGCCCCAGGTGGATACTGAACTAGAGGTTTACATCAGGCCCCAGGTTGACACCCAGGCTCGGGTGGACATTAGGCCCCAGGTGGATACCTAGGCCCCTAGTAAACCTCAGATTCTAGGTTGACATTCAGGCCCCCAGTAGTCATTTGGCCCCAAGTGGACACTCAGGAGCCAGGTTCACATGATGTCTTAACTGGACACCAAGGGGCCAGTCTGATACCCAATCCTATGTGGGTGCCAGGTCCAAGGTTACACTCAAGCCCCAAGTGGACACCAGGCCCTAGGTGAATAATACAACCCAGGTGGTCATTAGGCCCCAGAATGACACCAGTCCCCAGGTTAACAGGAAGCCCCCAGTGGGTATCTAGGCCCCAGCTGGACATCAGGCCCAATGTGGACACTCAGGATCAAGATGGACATCAGGACTCAGGTGGACATCTGGTGACAGGTGGACATCAAGCCTGGTGTGTACCTTGTCCCCGGGTGGTCATCAGGCCCCAGTTCAACACCAGTCCCTGGGTGGATTCCTCGGCTCCAGGTGGACATCCGGTCTTCAGCTGAACATCAGACCCCAGGTGAACTCCAGGTTTTAGGTGGACATTAGGCCCCTGGTGGACATAAAGTATCAGTGGACATCCATGCTGCAGGTGGACACCCAGGGCCCAGATGGGCATCAGGCCCCATTTGGACATTGAGGCCCCAGGTGGATATCAGGCCTCAGGTGAACCCTAGGTCCAACATAGACATCAAGCCTTAGGTTGACACTCAAGCACCAGATGGACTGCTGCACCTAAGCAGAAAACAGACCCTTATCTGGATATCTAAGATACAGGTATACAACAAGCCCCAGGCTGACATCCAGACCCCAGGTGGACACCATACCCCAGGTGAACAGCAGGCAACAGTTTGGCACCAAGTACCTAAGTGAAACAAAGCCTTAGGTGATTACCAGGCCATAGGTAGTCATTAGTCTCCAGCTGGACAATAGTCCCTAGGTGGATACCCAGGCCCCAGGTGGACACTAGACCCCAGATTAACACAAAAACCAAGTAAAAAATCAAGCCCCAAGTGGACAACCAGGCCCTAGGTAAATACACAAATCTCAAGCTGACACCAGGCCCTATTTGGACACCCAAGCCCTAGGTGGACTTCGGACCCCAGGTGAACACTGAACTCTAGAAGGTCTTCAGGCCCTGTGTTGACTACCTGGCCCCAGGGAGACACCAGGCATAGATGAACTTCAGGCACCAGCTGTACATCAGGTTCCAGGCAAATGTCCAGGCCCCAGGTGGGTATCACACCTCAGATGAACACCAGGCCCCAGGTAGACATCACAAACCAGGTGGACACTCAGGCCCCTACTGAATATCCGTCCCCAGGTGGACATCTGTCCCAAGGTGGACACGAGGCCACAGATGTACACTTAAGCCTAAGGCAGACCCCAGTCCCCAGGAAAACTCCAGGCTCCATGAGGGCACTCAGACCCCAGATGGATGCACTGGTCCTAGGTAAATACAAGGCCCCAGGTAGATAGCAGGCCCCAGTGAACACTGGAGCCCAGGTGGGTACCTAGTCCCCAGGTGTGCATCAGGCAGAAGGTTGACCCAGTCCCCAGCTGAACTCTGGGCCCCAGCTGAACATCATAACCCAGATGGTCACCCAGGCTCCAGGTGAACACATGGTCTTAGGTGGACATCAGGCCCCACATGAACACCCAAGCCCCAGGTAGAGATCAGGCCTTAGGTGTACACCAGACCTCAGGTGGGCCTCTGGCTCCAGATGGCCATAGGTGGATAACTAAGCCTCTCGTGGATATCAGGCCCCAGGTGGGCACCAGGCTCCAGGCGAACATCTAGCCCCAGGGGGACATCCAGCCCCTGGTGGACATCAGGGCTCACATGGATAAACAGTTTACAGATGGACACCTGCCACAGGTGCCTCACCTCTACTTCCTGAAACCTCACTTCCCCTCATGGGCCTTCTGTCCGACTTGCGGTACCCCTAGCCGCCCTAGGAACACACTGGACTCGAACCAGGGGTGCCAGGGTCCCTGGGGCTCAGCGCAAGGGTGTGGCGCGGTTTTTTTTTTCTTTTATGCCACAGGTGCCATACCTCTCCTCCCTCAAACCTCACCTTCCCCTCATAGGCTTTCTGCCCGCCATGGGGTACCCCAAGAGGCCCGAAGCGCACCCTGGTCTTGAACCAGGGATGCCAGGGTCCCCTGGGCCCAGCTCAGGGGCTGATGGGAAGACACTTTCTTCCGTGGGGTACCCAGGCCCCGCTTCTCCGCGGCACAGTTTTTTTTTTTCTCTGCCTCAGGTGCCTCACCTACCCCTCATGGGCCTTCTGCCCGCTTCTGGGTACCCCTAGCGGGCCCAAGGCGCACCCTGGGCTCGAACCAGGGTCCCCAGTGTCCGCGAGGTCCAGCGCAAGGCCTGATGGGAAGGCACTTTCGTCAGTGGGGGACACAGGCCCAGCTTCACTGCGGCGCGGTTTTTTTTTTTTTCTGCCACAGGTGCCTCACCTTCCCCTCATGGGCTTTCTGTCCGCCTTGGGGTACCCCCAGCGGCCCAAGGCGCACCCTGGGCTCGAACCAGGGATGCCAGGGTCCCTGGGGCCTAGCACCGGGTCTGATGGGAAGGCACTTTCTTTCGTGGGGAACCCAGGCCTCCCTTCTCCGTGGCGAGGTTTTTTCCTTTTTTCTCCGCCCCAGGTGCCTCACCTTCCCCTCATGGGCTTCTGCCCACTTTGGGGTACGGCTAGCGGCCCGAGGCGCACACTGGGTTCGAACCAGGGTCGCCAGGGTGCACGGGGCCAAGCGCAGGGGCTAATGGTAAAGCACTTTCGTCCGTGGGGGACCCAGGCCCCCCTTCTCCGTGGCGCGTTTTTATTTTTTCTGCCATAGGTGCCTCACCTCTCCTCCCTCAAACCTCACCTTCGCCTCATGGGCCTTCTGCCCACCTTGGGGTACCCCTAGCGGCCCGAGGCGAACCATGGGGTCGAACCAGGGACGCCAGGGTTCCCGGGGCCCAGTGCAAGGGCTGATAGGAAGACACTTTCGTCCGTGGGGGACCCAGGCACCGCTTCTCCGCGGCGCAGTTTTTTTTTTCTTTTGGCTGCCCCAGGTACCTCACCTTCCCCTCATGAGCCATCTGCCTGCTTTGGGGTACCCCTAGTGGACCGAGGCGCACCCTCGGCTCGAATCAGGGTCGTCAGGGTCCCCGGGGCGCAGCGCAAGGGCTGATGGGAAGACACTTTCGTCCGTGGCGGACCCAGGCCCCGCTTCTCTGCGGTGCGGTTTTTTTTTTTTTTTTTTTTTTTTGTCTGCCACAGGTGCCTCACCTCTCCTCCCTCAAACCTCAACTTCCCCTCATGGGCTTTCTGCCCGCCTCGGGGTACCCCTAACGGCCCGAGGCGCACCCTGGGTTTGAGCCAAGGTCGCCAGGGTCCACGGGGCTCAGCGCAGGGCCTGATGGGAAGGCACCTTCGTCCGTGGGGGACCCATGCCCTGCTTCTCCGTGGGGCGTTTTTTTTTTCTGCCACAGGTGCCTCACCGCTCCTCCCTCAAACCTCACCTTCCCCTCATGGGCCTTCTGTCTGCCTTGGGGTACACCTAGCGGCCCGAGGTGCACTGTGGGCTCGAACCAGGGAAGCCAGGGTCCCTGTGGCCCAGCGCAAGGGCTGATGGGAAGACACTTTCGTCCGTTGGGGGGACCCAGTCCCCGCTTCTCCGCGGCGAGGTTTTTTGTTGTTTTTTTTCTCTGCCCCAGGTGCCTCACCTTCCCCTCATGGGCCTTCTGCACACTTTGGGGTACCCCTAGCGGCCCGAGGCGCACCCTGGGCTCGAACCATGGAGGCCAGGTTCCATGGGGCCAAGCGCAGTGGCTGATGGGAAGGCACTTTCGTCCCTGGGAGACCCAGGCACCAGTTCTCCGCTGCGCGTTTTTTTTTTTTTTTTTTTTTTTTTCTGCCACAGGTGCCTCATCTCTCCTGCCTCAAACCTCAGCTGAAACTTTTGGGCCTTCTTTCCTCCTTGGGGTACTCGTAGCAGCCTGAGGCGCAGCGTGGGCTCGAACCAGGGATGTCAGCGTCCTCGGGACCCAGCTCAAGGGCTGACGGAAAGACACTTTCGTCAGTGGGGGACCCAGGCCCCGCTTCTCCGCTGCGCGGTTTTTCTTCTTTCTCTGCCGCAGGTGCCTCACCTTCCCCTCATGGGCTTTCTGCTCTCCTTGGGGTACCCCTAGCGGGTCCAAGGTGCACCCTGGTTTCCAGCCAGGGACACCAGGTTCCCCAGGGCCCAGCGCAGGGGCTGATGGGAAGGCACCTTCGTCCGTGGAGGAGCCAGGCCCCGCTTTTCTGCAAGCGCGGTTTTTTTTTTCCTTTGCCCCAGGTGTCTTACCTTCCTCTCATGGGCCTTCTGCCGGCTTCTGGGTAACCCTAGCGGGCGCGAAGCACACCTGGGGCTCGAACCAGGGTTGCCAGGGTCCATGGGGCCCAGGGCAGGGGCTGATGGGAAGACACTTTCATCCGTGGGGGACCCAGGTCCCGCTTCTTTGCGGCGCGGTTTTTTTTTTTCTCTGCCCCAGGTGTCTCACCTTCCCCTAATGAGCATTCTGCCCGCTTTGGGATACCCCTATTGGGCACGAGGCGCACCCTGGGCTCTAACCAGGGTCGCCAGTGTCCATGGGGCCCAGCGCAGGGGCTGATGGGAAGTCACTTTCGTCCGTTGGGGACCCAGGCCCCGCTTCTCCGCGGCGTGTTTTTTTTTTTTTTTTTTTTCCTGCCACAGTTGCCTCACGTCTCCTCCCTCAAACCTCACCTTCCCCTCATGGGCCGTCTGTCCGACTTGGGGTACCCCTAGTGGCCAGACGCACACCCTGGGTTCGAAACTGGGACACCAGGGTCCCCGAGGCCCAGCGCAAGGGCTGATGCGAAGACACTTTCTTCCTCGGGGACCCAGGCTCTGCTTCTCTGCGACGTTTTTGTTTTTGTTTTTTTCGCTTTTCCCCAGGTGCCTCACCTTCCCCTCATGGGCTTTCTGCCCGCCTTGAGGTACCACTAGCGGGCCCGAAGCTCACCCTGGTTTCGAGCCAGGGACGCTAGGGTCTCCGGGGCCCAGTTCAGGGCTGATGGGTAGGGACGTTCGTCTGTGGGGGACCCAGGCCCCACTTCTGGGCGGCGCAGTTTTTTTATTTTTTTCTCTGCCCCAGGTGTCTCACCTTTCCCTCATGGGCCTTCTGTCTGCCTTGGGGTACCCCTAGCAGGCCGAGGCGCACGCTGGGCTCGAGCCAGGGATACCAGGGTCCCTGGGGCGCAGCGCAAGCGCTGATGTGAGGACAGTTTCTTCTGTGGGGGAGCCAGGCCCCGCTTATAGGCGGCGCGGTTTTTTTTTTTTTTTTTTTCTCTGCCCCAGGTGCATCACCTTCCCCTCATGGGCCTTCTGCCCGCTTTTGGGCACCCCTAGCGGCCTGAAGCGCACCCTGGTCTCGAACCAGGAATGCCAGGGTCACCTGGGCCCAGCGCAAGGGCTGATGGGAAGACACTTTTGTCCGTTGGGGACCCAGGCTCTGCTTCTCCGTGGTGCGGTTTTTTTTTTTTTTCTGCCACAGGTGCCTCACCTCGCCTTCCTCAAACCTCAACTGCCCCTCATGGGATTTCTGCCCGCTTGTCTTCCGAGGCTGCGGTGTGGATCTCGCACTGCGGCCGCCTCGCCTTGGCTGGGGAGAACCTCGGTGGGTAGGATTCAGAGGGGCTTTTGGTTTCCCGTTTTCCACACTGAACCCTTCTAACTGGTCTCTGACCCTGATTATTAAGGGCTGCAAACAGGAAGGATTTTATTCACCATTGATGCGGCTCCGAGTAGTCCCAAAGCGAGGCAGTGCCCACAAGGTCTGTGCTGAGAACGCTGCTCTGCCTTCGCGGTGTCTCCCGGGTGTGTGCTGAGCAGAACGCAGCTCCGCCCTCGCGGTGCCCCTGGCCCGCCCGCCCGGGTCTGTGCTGAGGAGAACATGCTCCGCTTCGCTGTATCTCCGAAGTCTGTGCAGAGGAGAACTCAGCTCCGCCCTGGCAATGCTCTCCGGGTCTGTGCTGAGGAGAAGGCAGCTCCGCCCTCGCAAAGGCACAGGGCGCCGGCGCAGGCGCAGAGAGGCGCACGGGGGTACCCCTAGCGGGCTCGAGGCCCACCCGTGGCTTGAACCAGGGTCTCCAGGGTCCACAGGGCCCAGAGCAGGAGCTGATGGGAAGGCATTTTCATCGTGGGGGACCCAGGCCCTGCTTCTCCGTGGCGCGGGTTGTTTTTTTTTCTTTTTCTGTGACAGGTGCCTCACCACTCCTCCCTCAAAACTCACCTTCCCTCATGGGCTTTGTGCTCCCAAAGCTCCCCTTGGGGTGCACGTAGCGGCTGAGGCACACCCTGAGCTCGAACCAGGGACACCAGGGTCCCCGGGTCCCAGTGCAGGGACTGATGGGAAGACACTTTCGTCCGTGGGGAATCAGGCCGCTCTTCTCTGCAGCGAAGTTTTTTTTTTTCTCTGCCCCAGGTGCCTCGCCTTCCCCTTATGGGCTTTCTGCCCACCTTGGGCTAACACTAGTGGCCCGAGGCGTACCCTGGGATCAAACCAGGGACGCCAGGGACCTCAGTGCCAAGCGAACGGGCTAAGGAGAAGACAATTTCCTCCGTGAGGGACCCAGGCACTGCTTCTCGGCGGCGCGTTTCTTTACTTTCTCTGCTTCAGGTGCCTCACCTTCCGCTCATGGACCATTTGTTCGCTTTCTGGTACCGCAAGCGGTCCCGAAGCGCACCCTGGGCTCGAACCAGGGTCGTCACTGTCCACTCTGCCCAGGGTACAGCATAATGGGAAGGCACTTTCATCCATGGGGGACCCAGGCCCCGCTTGTCTGAGGCGAGGTCTCCTGTTTTTTTTCTGCCCCTGGTGCCTCACCTCTATTCCCACAAACTTCAAATTCAACTCATGGGCCTTCTGTCCGAGTTGGGGTACCCCTAGTGGCCCGACGCGCACCCTGGGCGCCAACGACGGATGCCAGGGTCCCTGGGGACCAGCGCAAGGGCTGATGGGAAGACATTTTCGTCAGTAGATGACCCAGAAACCGCTTGGCGATGCATTTTTTTCTCTGCCCCAGGTGCCTCAACTTCCCCCCATCAGCCTCCTGTCTCTCTGCACCTGCGCCGGCGCCGTGCTCTTCTCTGCGCCGCCACCGTTGCTGGGGGATGGGTCCCTGAGACTTGGCGAAGTAGGAGTATTGGACTCGTGTACAGGCCCTGTCTCGCAGGTTTTCAGGTGCGCTTGGCGTTTCCTCCGCTTTGAGGGGCAGGTCTCCAGTGGCCCCCGGGCGCAGGCCTGGACATCACTGTCCGTCTCATCGTCGCCCACTACGGCCTCAGAGACACAGGCTCACTGCATGTGCTCTTGGGGGACGTCAGTGCCACGTGTGGTCACACTGGCTCCGGCTCGGACTAGCCTCTGTCTCTCTTTGCCCGTGTCGCCGGAAGCCGCGTCGAGATGCCGGAGCCCCCGGGCCTTGGAGATGAAGGCAGGCCCCTGCTCCACCCAGGAAGGAGGGAGGCAGTGGGCTCGTGGGTCAGTGCCTTTGCAGGCGACAGCACGCCTTGTGGCCCTGGGGATCTTTCTGTGCCCCGGCGAGAGCCTTTCCGCCTCACTGCATTGTAACCCCATTCCCGATCACCGGGTGGGATCCATCATCGGATCCCAAGAGGAGTCCGCGCAGCCCAGCCGACACCCCGAAGCTCCTCCTTCACCGAGAACCCAAGCAGAAGACCGATCAAGGAGGTCCTGACGACAGGACTCCTATGGGTCCGACCCTGGGTCTCCCGCAGGCCCCTCTGGTAGTCCTCTTCCCACCCGCCGCCCCGGGCTGCGCCGCAGCCGCCGCCGCAACCTCCAGCACCGCCGCCCCAGTCCCCGCAGCCGCCGCGTCGCCGCCATTTTTTAAAAGGTCCGCAGCCTGACTCTGCCGAGTAAGGGGGGGTGGGGCGGGTGAGTCGGCCTCGCCAGTGCGCATGCGCGAGGCCCGAGCCGCCGCTTTGGTCACAGTGACCGCCACCATTGCCCGGGGATGGGTCCTTGAGACTTGGCGAAGTAGGAGCCCTGTGTGATCGTGCGTCAGAGTCGGGGCTGAGACCAGCCCTGGCCAGGGCAGTTACCAGGACGGTCTCCGGAGGCCGGGATTCGCGGAGGGTCCACCAGCAGGAAGAAACCCCAGGAGGAAGAAAACTCAGACAGATCGCCGGGGAGGCAGCGCGGGATCCCAGCCTCAGGCGTGCGCGGACGGTGTGCGGGTGAGTCTCCCCAAAAGTGGCGCCCTTGTGATGTCGAGGACAGGTCTCCCTGTGTGCGCGTGGGCTGCTGTCTCACCGGTGGCTCGTAGTCGCGGAGACCAGAACCCGGCAGCTTCAGGGGCTGCCTGGGGGTGGGTGTTACCTGCTGTATGTCTGTGTCCGTTATGGGTGTGTGTGTGTGTGTGTGTGTCTGCGTGTGTGTGCGCGCGCGCGCGCGCGTGCGTGTCTGTGTGCCCACTACCGTCTCTCTCTTAAGTCTCTCTCTCTCTCTCTCCCTCTCTCCCTTCTCGCTCTTTCCGTCGCCCTCTCTTTCTGTCTCTGTCCGTCTGTGTGTGCGTGCGCCTTGGGACACATGTTCCCTGTGCGCCGGAGGCTGGGTTTCTTGCACGTCGGCCTTTCTTCTGGTCAGCCTCTCCCCGCGTCTCTGCCTGGGTGTTGTGGCCGGTTGGCAATCGTTTTCCCGGCGGTTCCGGCTTGGGGGTCTGTGAAGGCCTGGGCAACGTGGGCATCTGCGTCGGAGCTGCAGGGGTTTTCATTTCCTCCCCATCCGGAGCAGCCTCTTTGCTAGGCTAGATCCAGACGACCGCTCCCCAACCAAGGACAACGGCCTCCCAGGCGCTCATTGTCCACCCGCAGGAGGGTGCCCGCAGACCTTCCAGAAGATGCTTCTCACGCCTCTTGCCCTGCCCTCTGCCCTCATGGAGAAATCTAGCCACAGCTCGACGCAGGGACGGAGAAGGAAGCCGGCAAGGGGATGGGGCAAGCCTCTCTCTCACTCAAAGGCAGTATAGAAGTCCACCACAGAGGCATATCCAGTATGGTGCCCACCACCTCATCTTGGGGCTGGGTGAAGGGCAAGTGGCACTGCAGGAAATAGTAGCCTTGTTCTCTGTCCTCAATTTGTTCCAAGATTGCGGCCCACACCAGTGCTTGGGCTTGTGAGAATGGAGGGCTCTCCAACAGTTCAGAAACAAGCAGTCTGCCGCAGAGGTGAGAAGAGCAAAAGACACCCCCACCTATGCTTTTCCATGGAACATCAAGTCCCTCAGAGTATAATGTCTGCTGGGTTCTTGCTTCCTTATTTTTCTGTGTTCAAATTTCTTCTTGTGGTGCTCTAGCACACTTCCGTCTATATAGATATTGGAATTAACGATTATTTATCCATAACTTTGCTTTCTCTTTCTGAGAATAACTAGAGTCAAATATCTATAGTCAGTCATATTGAAGAAAAACCTCAGAAATATACTTCTTAGTAACTCAACACCCAAGAGCAAATCATAATGGAAATTATAAAATATTTTTAATTAAAAAATGTATACTACATTATAAAATGTGTCATTTTAGAGGAAAATGTAGAACCTTAAATTCTTATTTTATGAGGACAACAAATTAATTTTTAAAATGTTTTGAATTTATTGGTAGAAGTTAGAAATATCAACAGAAATAAAAGGAAATAATAAATACATGCATAGTGATTAAGAATACAGGGAAAGAAAAGTCAAGAAATATGGCCAAAAGTTTGTTAGTTGTTGTAGGAGCCATACAATAACAAAACTCTGGAGAAATGGCTTGATAAAATTAAGAGAAGAAACAAGTATGCCATCTCAGGAATCAAAATAGGAAATAATTATACATCAGGTGTCAAGAATTTTTTTTGTTTTTTGGAAAGGATCTGTTGGTAATTATTTTAGGTTTTTGGGCTATATGGTTTGTTGCAACTAATCAATTCTATTGTTGTGGCATAAATTGACAGTATGTCAATGAATGAGCATGACAGTGTTCCAGTAATACTTTATTTATAAATACTGTCTGGCTTATTTGCCACAGTTTATTGAGTTTTGTTATAAATAATACAAATATCAAGAAGTTAAATTAGTATAGTATGAAAACGTTTAATTCAATAAATTTGGAAATATATGTAAAATGTGTACAATTACTTGAAACATGCATTTTTCCAAAAGTAACCTAAAGTGAAAAGAAAAATCTGAATTGTGCTACAACAAATGCATGTAATCAGTAGTCAGAAATCATATCATAAAGATAATTTCAAGCCATGATGACTTTACTGGCAAGTTGTTTCAAACATGAAACAAAACAATAATTCCAATCTTACATACAATTCTTTCTGAGCATGAAACAGGAAAGAACATACTCTATTTTATTTTATTATGCTATTATGACTCTGATATTATAACCTGACAAGGATAGTAAAGGGAAAGTAAATTAAACACCAATGTAATTTATGAAAATATTGAAGGAAAACTTAAAAAAGTTCCATGCAGAAATAAGCAATGCATTAAAATGTAAGACATCACAGCCAATGTTTATTCTAAGAAACCCTGGGAAGCAATAATGGCCTCATGTAAAGGTATCAATTAATATGATACACCACAACAAATAACTTAACAATATTATAAGCATATTTAATTTTATTTTCTTAAAAAGTCATACATTTTAACAACCCGAAATTAAAAGAGAATCTAGTTTAACTGATAACATTTGTTTTCAAAAGTTCTATTGAAATTATAACACTTAACAATGGAATGTTCAAATATTTCCTTTGTGATTGGGAACAAAATAAACATAGATGGTACAAGCAATTTTATTTATCCTTTTGCAGGTCTTAGACACTGGGATAGGATTGTAAATATTAAAAAAATAAGAATTATGAAAGAGAAAACAGATTACTATGTTACCGATGACACTAAGTACACAGAAAATTCAAAATGATTCTAAGATACATTATACTAATGAATATGAGCTTTTAGCAAGATGCTTTGACACAAACGTATTATGCAATATTGAAATGCATTTCAAATAAGTAGAGAACTTTATTTAGATGTGTCAATGTGGCTTACTCTCACAAACATAGTATTTAGTGGCATGATTAAGTCACAAAAGAATACGTACAGTATAACTCAGTTTAAATAAAGTTCAAATAAACATAGACATAACATTGACATAAATATATTCTTGAATTGAAAGACTTTAATGAAATCACTTCTCCCCAAAATTAATCTTTGTAACTAGTGCATCCAAAGTAAAACCCAGTAAGGTTTGATTTAGATATTGACAAGCTAATTCTAGAATTTATGTAAACTCTAAAAATATTAAAATTCAGTTAATAATTTATTGAGGAAGGAAAAATATATTACAGGAAATATAAGAATTAATGCAATGTGGTATTAACAAAGTAATAAATAATCAATGAAATGGAATAGGTAGACTACAGTAAGGAAAATATAAGAACCCATGATATGTAAGAAAGCTAGTATTATAGATCAGTGGTGAAAAATAAATTTGCCAATAAATGAGAGTGAGAAAGCTGGCTATACATATGGAAAATAATTAAAGTGATTCTTTACCTTATATAATATTTAACAATCAATTCCTTGGCAATCAATATTTAAATGTAAAGCCAGGCAAAAATTACAGAAAACCCGACAGTAAAACAAAGAAAATGGCTTGCACATGTGCTTTATAAAATGTACAATGTAAGTGTCCACCATACCTATTTAGAATCACTTTAACTTATTTTTAACACAAAAATGCAAATGAAAATGTTTTATATGTACATTATTACTTATACAAGAGATTGACCAAAAACGGTCTGACAAGACAGACTTCTGGCAAACATATAGAGCAATAATAATTTCATATGCTTTCCTGGAAATGGAAATTATATCCGTTTTAAAAAGAGTCTTGTATTACCCAGTAATATTGAAGATGACCATATATTCTAATCAGCAATTGGCTTTCACTCCTTATTTTGTATGTACATGGTTGGCCATTAAGAAATGTAATCCAAAATATTTACAGGCTCAGTTAAGTACTATAAGCAATGCAAAAGTTAAACAACAGTAGAATGTGGTAGATTCATACAGTGGAATACTACACTTTAGAAAAAAAATAGATAACTTTATTTAGATATGTTAATGTGGCTTACTCTCACAAACTTAATATGCAGTGGTATGATTAAGTCACAAAAGGATATGTACAATATAATTCAGTTTAAATAAAGTTCAAGAACACAAAACAGCAAGTTGGATTGTTTATAAAAGGTTTACTGGACACTAAATCTATAAAGATAATAATAGAAATTATTTTAACACATCCTTCAATTACCTTTCATTCCTCCAGAAATTTGTTGAAACCTCTTGAATGCCTGTGACCTTTCTCATTTCCTCCACTGTTTAATTTCCTTTTATACTTTGTTTAAAACTTTGAATGGACATATGAGAGATGAAGTCATATTTTTCTAAATAAGTTCAAAAATATTTTGCTTTAAAATATAAGTAGTGATTAAATTTCTAAGAATTGAGCAATAGTTGAATGTTATAAATTTAGTTTTCATGAATATTTCTCTCTCCACATTTCTTCTTCTCAACTTGCTCATATCCCTTCAAATGACAAAATACTTAGAAGTATTTGAGTCAAGTTAGATATATTTTTGAAGATATTATTTGCTTATTTATCTATGAGAGGTCAACAACAACTTCCATGAATATTAGGAAAGCAAATGTCGGTAGCTCTATTCACTTCAATATTGAATTCACCTATATCTGAAATTTAAATGTCAGTGATAAGACTGACAGAAAGCGTCACACACTTTAGGTAACACAGCACTAAGTGGCAACACTTTAATATTGTCACTATTACATTTTTCAGATATACAATATATACTTTACCAAGAATCCTAGTCTATTATGTTCTAAGGATGAGCTGTCTTTATACAAATTCACAATAAATAGCTGTGTAAATAAGAGTTACCATTTTTATTTTATAGCATAAAATGTATTTCAATTAGTTGTACAAATCAGATATGTTATAAAAGAAACATCTTTCCTATTATTGAATTACCCAAAGTTGCTTACCTAACATAGAATCTTGTGGAGGAAAATAGGCCAGTGAAATTCAGTGATTATTCATTATGATCAAGGTGATTAGTACAGAAATCTCCATGACTATTCTGTGCAGTGTCTTTTCTTTAACAATATTTTATAATCATTCTTATTTTTACTTTCTGTAGACAAATCCTTTCTTGTTTTGCCTCCTTTTAGGTACTTTTGAGATTATAAAAGTATATAGTAAAAACAAATGCACACACAAAACTATTCGGTTGGTATACTTAATTTTGTTAGAATAGATTTAGTCCAGGTATATTCCAGTGGTTTCTTACTGAGAGTCCATCCTAGTCCCCTGATTATTACTTGAGTGTTCACTGATGGTTTTTCCTTCTTGTTAACAGGAAATAGTTTTGGTTTCTGCTAAAAATGGCAGTTGCCACCATTCTGCTAAAAATGGCAGTTGTGTGAGTTTTATTTCTTAGAAAATAACTATATTTTATATTTGGTGAATATCTTAGTTTTGCATTTAATTTGCTAAGCAGAATCAATGCAATCACTATCATATTCTATAGTTTTTCCTAACAGATTGATAGAGTAAAATGTATGGTTTTTCTAATTTTTAGCATTTGTGTCCAATAAAATGACTTTATATAATTTTTTTCTTGTTGGTTCATTTTTTTTCCGGTCAAAGTTTCTTCTTTAGTTTCTCATATAATTGATTCAAAACTCCTAAGTGATGATCACAGTAACCTTAGGTATTTCTTAATTCTCCATAATAAATATAGCATCTGAGTCTAATTTCTTCTGGGAGATTTATTAACTTTTAAGATAGCATGTGTCACTTACATAATCTAACAATGCATTTTGCATACTAAAATGATGAAACATTCTTAATGAATTTAAATAGCTACTTTATCAGAAACAGGAGTCATAGGTTGAATTTTTATGTGGGTAGTAGAGCTAAGAATATTTGTAAAACAGCTCTCCATGATGGGCTCCAACAGGATGAAGTAAGACCACCTACCAAGGAAGTAAGATCAGTCCCAAAATGAACTGTACATGAAATTCTGCTCTAAGATCTTTTTGCTTTTTAACATGATTTCAGAAAAGGCTAATTTTTGTAATGGACTACAATACTTGTTTTGCTACATAAGCTTTCAGGATTTTTTTTCTTTTATTTTTATTTTAAAATTAATTTTTGAGCAGCATTCTTGACTGCAAGAAAGCTTCTGTCAGTTTCCCAAATTACTCAAATAACATGTATTTTACACTGAAAATCATGAGCTCCTTAACTCAAAGCTTTTCCTTGTTGTTTTTGTAACTATTTACCATACAATTACTTGTAAATGAAATGTATAACATAAATATGCGCTAACATAAAGGAAGATGTTTAAATATTTTTTAGACTTCTGAAAAAAGATAAAACTCTCAGTTTTTAAGAACATTGTATCTTTCATTTTATCTTTCTTTCTCCTCCAAATATATTAATAACTATCCTTCTATTTGTTACGTTCTTTTACTTAAAGGGACTAAAGTATAAATCAGGTAATTAATACACAAAACTTTATTCTGTCCCTTGCTTGTAGCACTGCTTCATTCCAGTTTCCTCAGAGTTTATTATATAAATCAGACAGATTTGTAAATAAGTATTTTACAGTCTACATTTATTTGATTATGAAAATGGAAACAGAATAAAATGTGAACAGATAACAAACTTTACTTGTGTGTTTCTCCATCTTTTCAAGTTGATCAGGTATATGGATGGCATTTTAAATAATGTATTAAATTTAGAGAATACATTAAATAGAAAAGAAAATTGTGGGAAATAGGAAAGCCTTTCCATTAAGGGTTTAGATATAAAATGTTCTATTCAGTTACAAACTAAACCTAAAATGAGAGGGTTTTTTTGTTTAACTGAAAGAGCTGGAGAGTAATTAAAGGTAATTGGCATGTTATTATTCTTAAAAGGTTCGCTTTTCTGTTCTAAGAATACCAGGGAACAATTGAATAGATAAAAAGCAAACTATAAATTGCCAAATAGATCTTTTGTATAATAATACATCTCCCAAGACAAAAGATATTTCAGACCCATAAAAAATAAGGGAAGTGTATTTGCCTGACTGGTCTTGCATCTTGCCTGACCACAATGAATTTGCATCAGATTTTAAACTCACAGAGTTATAAAATATCTTAATGTGTTAAGAGGGAATCAAAAGTGAATGTGATTAACTTGAAGGTACTAGTTGGCAGACTTTAACATTAGGCTAGTAGAAACTATTTAATAAATAAAACTGAAAGAAAAATACTTTTCTTAAATAATTATTAGTGGCAGATTGATACTGTTAATATTATTGATTCAATCTGGGAAGTCCTCCCTCTTGCCTTTTCTCTACCCAGATCTTGCATTCTTTTGCAAAATAAGAACAATACAAACTCATTATTATTATTATTATTTTTTTTTTTTTTTTTGGAGACAGAGTCTCGCTCTATTGCCCAGGCTGGAGTGTAGTGGCGCGATCTTGGCTCACTCAACCTCCGCCTCCCGGGTTCACGCCGTTCTCCTGCCTCAGCCTCCCGACTAGCTGGGACTGCAGGCTCCCGCCACCATGCCCGGCTAAATTTTTGTATTTTGTTTAGTAGAGACGGGGTTTCACCGTGTTAGCCAGGATGGTCTTGATCCCCTGACCTCGTGATCCGCCCGCCTCGGCCTCCCAAAGTGCTGGGATTACACGCTTGAGCCACTGCGCCCGGCAACAAACTCATTATTAAGTCACTTATTTACTATTCTATTCCTCAATGAACTCTTTTGTAGACTTCTACCCCATCTATAACCAATGCAGTGGTACTCCTCCCTCTCATATTTAGTTTCTCAGCTCAAGTAAGACTTCCTCAGAGGTTTAATCTAATTAATCTTAATCTAATTAAAATAGAAACCCTTACCCATTTATTCTGTCCAAAGCAACATGTTTCCCCTCCCCTCCCCTTCCCCTCCCCTTCCCCTCCCCTTCCCCTCCCCTTCCCTTCCCCTTCCCTTCCCCTTCTCTTCCCCTTCTCTTCCCCTTCCCTTCCACTTCCTTTCCTTCCCCTTCTTTCCCCTTGCCTTCCTTCCTGCCTTCTTTCTTTTCCTTCTTTCTGTCTTTTCTAATACAAGGCTTGACCACTGGGGTAAAATTGTCAAAATGTAAAAAGGAGATAATTAAAAAATAAACAGTACCTAAGTAGTATGCTAAAATATACATGGGGCAAGATCATCTTTGCATTTTATGCTTGGGTGCATTCTGGACCACCTTAATCTTTTTTTTTCTTCCCTAAGACAGAGTCTCTCTCTGTCATGCAGGCTGGAATGCCGTGGCACCATGATGACTCACTACAGCCTCCACCTCCGAGGCTCAAGTGATTAATCTTAAATAGTGCAATTATTCTATTTAATCACAAATGTCAGCATCTCTTTTCTTTAGTTTTGGCACATGGTTTTCACCTTTTATCCTCTCTCTCTCTCTCTCTCCATGCTTCATTATATTAGTTCCCTAGGCTATCACAACAAATTGACACAAACTAAATGACTTCAGCAACAGCAATGTATTCTAAAACAGTTCTAGAGGCTAGAAGTCCTAAATACAGTGGGGCCACACTCGCTCTGAGGTCCCTAGAGAGAATCCATTCTGTGGATCTTCCAGCTTCTGGGGGCTGCCAGCATTCCTTTACTCATGCGAGCATTCCTTTACCCCAGCTTCTGGGGGCTGCACCACTCCAATCTCTGCTCCCTGGTCACATTGCCTCCTCTTCTGTGTGTCAAGTCTCCCTCTGACTCACTCTTAAAAGAACATTTGTCAGGCCAGGCACAGTGGCTCATGCCTGTAATCCCAGCAATTTGGGAGGCCGAGGAGGGCGAATAACTTGAGGTCAGGAGTTTGAGACCAGCCTGGCTAACATGGTGAAACCCTTCCTCTAATAAAAGTATAAAAATTATCTGGGCATGATGGCAGGCGCTTGTAATCCCACTCCTCAGGAGGCTGAGGCAGGAGAGTTGCTTGAACCTGGGAGGCAGAGGTTGCAGTGAGCAGAGATTGCACCACTGCACTCCTCCAGCCTGGGCGAAAGAACAAGACTCCATCTCAAAAAAAAAAAAAAAAAAAAACATTTGTCATTGAATTAAAGACCCGTGAGTATATTTCAGAATAAGCCCCTTCCCTTAAAGTCCTTAACTTAATCACAAGCATTGCCATATAAGGTAATATTCACTGTTTAACGTGTCATTATATTCAAAGATTCCAAGGATTAACGTGTCACATATCTTTTAGAAAAAACTATTCGGCCTACTAAACTCGATGAGTCTTCATCTAGTGAGACTCAGGCCGAGTCAGATAAAAAGCTTTACAATATTCCACACCTCTCTCTACACGTGTTAAAAACAAGGAGAAAGACTTTCTCTTAAAATTTTAAGTTCACTAAAAATAGAACAAAAGCAGAAACAATTGAGGTTTTTGTGGTTGTTGCTGTTTGTGTCTTTATTTTTAAAGATTCTACTTTGTACCATATATAAATGGTAAATTATTCATTATCATTTCTGCTTCTTTTTTTTCATTTGAAGTAATCATATTCCATGGAAAATATTTAAATTCCCAGGCATTGTTAGCTGTAGAGCTCATAAAATGTTCAATGCTTCAGTGAGTTGCAAATTGAAAACAGAAATAAATTCTTGGAGAAAAACTTGACAGTATTCTACACACTTTGCTCTTGATTGATGTCATGTGGTGATTCCAATAAATGACTTTTTTCAAACAACTTAAACTATAACTGATTTAAGTAAATGGGGGTGCAATGGTTCTTTCTTATAGATCTCATCTGCTGAGATGCTATACACAGAATTTCAATCATTTTACCCTATGATTTTTCAAAGGTGTATAAGAATGAATAATAATATTATTATTCATTATTATTTATTCTAAAAATAAAAATAATTATATTCATTATTCTAAAAATAAATTTTTGTTTATTATTAATAAAATAACATATAAGGATACATTTATTTATTACAATCATGAAGATATTTAGAATGTACCATTTTCTAGGTAGTAAACTAGTGCTTCACATATTTTTGTTCATTTAATCTTTATTTTTATAAGTCAACAACTATAGATATTATTTTATATTATTTATACTTTATAAAATATAATAAAGACATTTTAAAATATATATCAAATATATATTATAAAGTATTACATTATAAAATATATATTTTATAAAGTAGATGACTATCGATATAGTCATTATATAGATGAGTAAACTGAGGCATATTGTTTCTATAAAAACCTCAAGAGCGCACATAAAATAAATGCTGCAGTCAATGAGCCAAAACATCATACTAAGGATTTTGCTTCCAGAAGCTGCACTCTTAACTACTAGGCTCTAATGCCTCTTTTTATATAAATGATATCATACTGTTTGTTCTCTTTTGATCTAGCTTCTATTAATTAGCATATTTATTGAGATTAATCTATTTTATAGTATGGATGAAAGTTTCATTTCTTTTATTGCTTGTAGTATTTCAAAATATGGATATATCAAAGCTTGCTTATTCATTTATCTGTTAATGAATATTTGATTGTTACATGCTCTTCACTATTAGCCCCTCTCTCCTATAAAAAAGTGCTGTGAATGTTTTGGTACAAGTTTTTTATGTACATATACTTTCATTTCCCTACAAATTGATTGGCAGTCATATGATAGGTGCATACGTCAAAATATTTTAAAAACTGTCAAGCCTTTTTCCAGAGTCATTGTACTAATTTCCATTACCATTAGCAGTGCATGTATGTTGGTTGTCCTCTATAGTATTGCCAACACTTGGCATGACCAGCCTTTTTAACTTTAGCCATTCTTTTTTCTTTCTTTTTTTTTTTTTTTTTTTGAGACGAAGTTTCACTCTTGTTGCCCAGGCTGGAGTTCAATGGCGCGATCTCGGCTCACTGCAATCTACACCTCCCGAGTTCAAACAGTTCTCCTGCCTCAGCCTCCCAAGTAGCTGGGATATAGGCGCGCATCACCATGCCCAGCTAATTTTTGTATTTTTAGTAGAGATGGGGTTTCACCATGTTGGTCAGGCTGGTCTCGATCTCTTGACCTCAGGTGATCCACCCACCTTGACCTCCCAGAGTGCTGCGATTACAGGTGTGAGCCACTGCGCCTGGCCTCTTTTTTTCTTTTTTGAGATGGGTTCTTGCTCTGTCACGCAGGCTGGAGTGCATTGGCACAACCATAGTTCACTGCAGGCTCCACCTCCTGGGCTCAAGTGATTCTCCCACCTCAGCTTCCGAGTAGCTGGTACTACAAGCATGTGCCACCATGCCTAGCTAAATAGAGACACCATGCCATGTCTCTTTCTTTTTTGTAGAGACAGGATCTCACTATGTTGCCCAGGCTGCTCTCTAACTCCTGGGGTCAAGAAACCCTGCTGCCTTGACCTTCCAAAGTGCTGGGATTACAGGCTTGAGCAACTGTACCCAACTCATTTTTGACAGACACAGATTAATTCCCTAATGACTAATGATATTGAGGATCTTTCCATGTGTTTACTTTCTATCTACATATGTTCTTTAGAGAAGAAGTATTCATTTAAGTCATTTGCCTACTTTTATTAGAGTTGTTAGATTTATCATCAAGTTTTGAGAGTTCTTATGTTTTCTGGACACAACTTTTTTGCCAGACATATATTTTGCAAATATTGTTCTCAGTAGTGTCTTATATTTCTATTTGTTTTACAGTGTTTCCTGAGGAACATATGTTTTACATTTTGATGAACTCAAGTTGTCAATTTCTACTTTGATGAAATGGTGTTTGTGTCATGTCTAAGTAGTATTTACTAGCCTGAGGTCAAATACTTTTCTATATTTTCTCCTATACATAATTTTTCTTCCTTTTTTTTCACTTTGTTTTTACATTTTACATTTAGGCATATGATCTGTACTAAATTAATTTTTGTATCATGAGTTACATGTTAAAGTTCTACTTTTTGCATATGAGTATCTAATTGTTCCAGCAGAATTTGTTGAAGGGCTATCTTTTATTTACTGAATTACCTTTGTATCTTTGGAGAACACCAATTTACCAAAATTCTGTACATATATTTCTGAATTTTCTATTATCTTCCAATGACATTTCTGTCTATCTTTATGCCAATATCACACTATTTTCATTACTGTAGCCTTATAAGCTTTGGTATTAGATTGTGCTAATCCTTCAAAAATATTCTTATTTTTAAGGATTATTTTGGCTATTTTAGACTCTTTGCATTTCTACTGAAGTTTTAAAATTAGTGTGTAAATTCCTATAAAACAATGCCTAATAATATTTTAATTGGGATTGTATTGAATCTATATTTAGGGATAATCACATTTTACCATGTGAATTTTCTAACCCATATTCATATTACATCTTTCCATTTATTTAAGTCTTCTTTAACTTTCTGCAGTGTTTTGAGTTTTAGTGTACCAGACTCTCACATCATTTGATAGATTAATTCCTAATTCTTCTACATTTTTCATGATATTATTAATAGTACTTTTATTTTAATTTTTTATTGTTCATTGCCGGTATATGGAAATATTAGTTTAATATGTTGCTTTTTTTCTTTTTTATGTTGCTAACTCACTTATTATAGCCAGCAGTGTTTTTGTAGATTTCAGTGGACTTTCTACATAGACATGCCGTCTATAAATAAACCCAATCTACATTTTCCTTTCCCGTCTGTAATTCTTTTGTTTATGTTTTTTGTCTATTTTACTTGGTAGAACGTCTAGTGAAATGTTAAAACAAAGTGCTAAGAGTTAATGGACTCATCTTGTTCCTGAAATCGGGGGAAATAAACTGATTTTTCTTCATTAAGTATGATGCCAGCTATTGTTTTTACATAGATATCTTTTATTAGGATATTCTTGAATTTCTTCTAGACAGTAATAACTTAGATCTTGTTTTATTGATCCAATCTGCTTTTAAATTGGTATATTTAGACCATTTATATGTAATGTGGTTATGTGTGCATATATATATATTTTTTTTTCTTTTTTTTTTCTTTTTTTTTTGAGACAGAGTCTGGCTCTGTTGCCCAGGCTGGAGTGCAATGCGATGATCTTGGCTCACTGCAACCTCTGCCTCCTGGGTTCAAGCCATTCTCCTGCCTCAGCCTTCTGAGTAGCTGGCATTACAGGTGCCCACCACCATGCCTGGCTAATTTTTTGTATTTTTAGTAGAGACAGGGTTTCACTATGTTGGCCAGGCTGGTCTCGAACTCCTGACCTCATGATCTGCCCACCTCAGTCTCCCAAAGTGCTGGGATTATAGGCGTGAGCCACCGCACCTGGATATTTTTAGTTTTAAACCTATTATTTTGCTTTTGCTTTCTATCTTTCCTGAAGGAATTCAGAACCAGATACCCCCAAACATGCCACTTTGGCATATTGATTTTTTTGAGTTAAAGACACTTGAAAAATAGCAGATGCAAGAAAAGCACTCTGATTTTCCTTTAAAGCACTCTGATTTTCCTTTTTCTTAAAAGTAGGAGGTAAAATTTCTACATGAAAGTTGCCCTCTTTATACAAGAAGGAAAGTAACAGTCTCATCACCCAGGATGAGAAGTTGAGGCAAGGGAAACCTGTACAAACAGACCTTGTTAAACCAACCCTTATCCTGTTAATCACCTCTTCACCCAATTAACTACACTAGTTCCAGCTCCTTTGTCTTGTCATATTTCACAATTTACTACTCTGTGTCTACTTCAGAACATAAGTGATTATGTCATGGAGTCTTCCTTCCTTAAAGAATCTCGCATGCCACATAATACATGCATTAAAATAAATTTGTATGCATTTTCCTGTTGATCTGTCTTATGTCAATTTAATTCTCAGGCTTAGCAGAGGAAAAAAAAAAAACTAAGAAGATGGTAATAAAATTTTGCTTCCCCTACCATCCCATCTGTTTTTTGCTTATTTTCCCTCTTGTTTGCCTTCTTTTCTATGAATTAAATATATTTTATGGTTTCATCTTATCTCCTTTTTTACTTGAGAATTAAAACTCTCTATATTGTTAATTTTAATGGTTGCTTTTGAGTTTGTAGTATACATGTTTAACTCATCACATTCTACCTTCAAATTATAATATACTACTTTACATACAGTATCATGAAGTAACAACATTTTCATTATTTTATCCTAACTGTTGTTCTGTTATTGTCATTAATTTATTTTTATATATGTTGTAAGCTCATTATAAATTGTTATTATTCTTGTTTAAATTAGAGGTTAATAATGTTGTTTTCTTCTCTCTCTTTTTTTTTTTTTTTTTTGAGACAGAGTCTAGCTTTGTACCAGGCTGCAGTGCAGTAGTGCCATCTCAGCTCACTGCAACCTCTGCCTCCCGGGTTCAAGCGATTGTCCTGCCTCAGCCTCCCGAGTAGCTGGGATTACAGCCACATGCCACCACACCCAGCTAATGTTTGTATTTTTAGTAGATACGGGGTTTCATCATGTTGCCCAGGATGGTCTTAATTTCCTGACCTCGTGATCCGCCCATCTCGGCCTCCCAAAATGCTGGGATTACAGGCATGAGCCACCAGAACCGGACATGCTTTCCTTAAAAGCTAAATATTTTAGGCTTGTGTGCCATTAGGCTCTGTTACAACTACTTAATTCTGCTTTTGTAATTCTATAGCACCCATTGATAATACATAAACAAATGAGCATGAATGTGTCTCAGTAAAAATTTGTTCACATAAACAGGCAGTCCACCCATGAAGCTATAGCTTGCTGACCCCTTGTTTAAACAATCAATTGAATTCAAACAGAAATAAAAGGATCTTATATATTTAACCATGTTGATACCATTTCCAGTGCTTTTCATTCTTCTATGTAGATCCAAATTTCCTTTTGATATTATTTTACTTCTGCCTGAAACATTTTCTTTAACATTTTTTATAGTGTTGTTTTACTGGTGATGATTTCTTTCAGGTTCTAAGTGCCTGAACAAAATCTTTATTTCACCTACATCTTGAAAGATAGTTTCTCTGAGTCTACAATTCCCAGCTGACAATGTTTATCTTCCAGTACTTTAAAGATGTTGCTTCATTATCTTCTAATTTTCTTTGTTTCCAATAAAATGTT
Organism: Homo sapiens; assembly: GCF_000001405.40. Classification (NCBI taxonomy): domain Eukaryota; kingdom Metazoa; phylum Chordata; class Mammalia; order Primates; family Hominidae; genus Homo; species Homo sapiens. Next base: position 40,091,356 of record NC_000009.12, on the reverse strand, counting down.
TGCTGGCATTTTTTGTTCCTCTGTGCAAACTGTGTTTTTGTCATTGGCCGCTTTGAGAATTTTTCTTTATCACTAGTTTTAAGCAATTTTATTTTAGTGTATTTTGTGCACAAGACAAGGATGCCCTCTCTCACCACTCCTGTTCAACATAGTATTGGAAGTCCTTGCCAAAACAGTTAGGCAAGAGAAAGAAATAAAGGGTACCCAAATAGGAAGAAAGGACGTCAAACTATCCCTGTCTGTGGATTACATGATCCTATATGTAGAAAACTTTATAGGCCCAAAAGCTTAAGGCCCGAAAGCTCCTTAAGATGAAAAACACCTTTGGCAGAGTCTCAGGATACAAAAAGAACATACAAAAATTACTCGCATTCCCATACACCAACAAGAGTCAAGCGGAGAGCCAAATCAGGAATGCAATCTGATTCACAATTGCTGCAAAAAGAATCAAATACCTAGGAATACAACTAACTAGTGAGGTGAAAGATCTCTGTAAGAACTAAAAACACCAAAGATATCAGAGAGGATGAAACAAATGAAAAAACATTCTATGCTCATGGATAGGAAGAATCAATATCATTAAAATGGCTATATTGTCCTTATTTTCAAGTATGCTATTGCGCTCTATGACTGATCCAAACTCCTGCCAGATATAATTCTAAAAATCTGTTTGTTAATTTTATTATTTTATTTTTGGATTTTTAAATGCTTGGGAATTGGGAGATATGCACAATTGTCTTTGCTTTGTCCACAAAATTAAATGCGTATTTGGGTACTTATAGGACACTATTTGTAAAAACATTTATTTCTTCAGACATTGATGGTCTTGTCCCAGTTATTAACAACATCTACATGTTTAAGAATAAATTTTCTATCTACTTCTTATTCCATTGAAAATTACCTTTCTATCCTCCTACTCTGGAAGTCTTTATGATTCTGTCCTAATCATTAGTATCCCATTGCTTCTTCAAGAGATGTCTGTCAGTAGAATTTCTCCATTAATATAAGTTCATACTTCTATGAAAACTTTAAATCTCAAATCTACAGTATTTCTAGTTCTAAAAAATATTTAAATTAGTTCTTTAATTATTTCCATCTTTATGTTTACTTTCCTTTTTTTCTAGCATTTTAAACAACTTTACGTCAACAATTCTTTATCTTCACTTTACCTCCCTTTACCTTTCTTCATTTTTTCCTAGCCATTGGATTCAGAGAAAATTATTCAACTTTTAAACTTCAAACTTGCTAGATCTATATTTAACTATGTCTATTGTTCTCTTCAGAACATCTGTTGAGTTTTTAATCCAAGAGCTATTATCAGTATTTTCTAAAATGTAACCTCTTCTTGCATGTCTCTGAAGATATGAATTACACTTACTGTAATTACATTTGTTTCTTTTCTTAATTCTGATTCTCTGAAATTACTTATTCTGTTTGCTAAGTTTTGTATCTTCTTTCTTGTTTTTCTTAAAAGTTGGGTGACAATATTTTACATGGGTAGTTTTTCTGTTAATCATAGCTTATCTCCAATGATTAGGAAAATAACAACTATGAAGTAGGACAAAGTAACCTGGTTTCTTGTGTTTTAGCATTGCTGCTCCCTGTTCCTTCCTGGTTTTGTTAATTACCTGAGACTCTGCCCTGTTGATGTTAGTCAGATTCTAAGACTCACCTTGCCAAGCAAGCACTGCTTTGTTATTCCAAAGTGAAGTTCATTCTTACTTTGTCTGGAAAGCAGTCTCTGCATCTTTTACCTCATTATTTCCCTCCTTTCATATTATGTTTCTTCCTTTACCAATTTTAATGGAGCTTCCCCTTTTTTGTCTCTAAGATCTCCTTCTCTATCTCAAAAACAAAACAAAAAAACATTATCAGCATTAACATATACAACAGAGAGCTTCATTGATGTGGTTTGGCTGTGTCCCCACCCAAATCTCATCTTGAATTCCCATACGTTGTGGGAGGAACCTGGTGGGAGGTAATTGAATCATGGAGGTAGGCTTTTCCTGTGCTGTTTTCCTGATAGTGAGTAAGTCTCATGAGGTCTGATGGTTATTATAAGGGGGAGTTTTCCTGCACAAGCTCTCTTTGCCTGCTGCCATCCATGTAAGATACGACTTGCTCCTCTTTGCCTTCCACCATGATTGTGAGGCTTCCCCAGCTACATGAAACTGTAAGTCCAATTAAACCTTTTTTCTTTTGTCAATTGCCCAGTCTTGGGTATGTCTTTATCAGCAGCATTAAAACAGACTAATACAGTAAACTGGTATCAGTAGAGTGGGATGCTGCTGAAAAGATACCTGAAAATGCAGAAGCAATTTTGGAACTGCGTAACAGGCAGGGGTTGGAACAGTTTGAAGGGCTCAGCAGAAGACAGGAAAATGCAGGAAAGTTTGGAACTTCCTAGAGACGTTTTGAATGGCTTTGACCAAAACGCTGATAATGATGTGAACAATGAGATCCAGGCTGATGTGGTCTCAGATGGAGTTGAGGAACTTGTTAGAAACTAGAGCAAAGTTGACTCTTGTTATGTTTTAGCAAAGAGACTGGCAGCATTTTGCCCGTGCCCTAAAGATTAGTGAAACTTAGAACTTGACAGAAGAATTAGGGTATCTGACAGAAGAAATTTCTAAACAGCAAAGCGTTGAAGAAGTGACTTGGGTGCTTTTAAAGGCATTCATTTTATAAGGCAAGCAGAGCATAAAAGTTCAGAAAATTTGCAGCCTGACAATGTGATAGAAGAGAAAAACCCGTTTTCTGAGGAGAAATTTAAGCTGGCTGCAGAAATTTGCATAAGTAACGAGGAACTGAATGTCAATCCCCAAGACAATGGTGAAAATGTCTCCTGGGCATGTCAGAAGTCTTCACAGCAGCCCTTCCCATCACAGTCTCAGAGGCCTAGAATAAAATGGTTTTGCTGGGCCCAGGGTCCCCATGCTGTGTGCAGTGTAGGGTGTTGGTGCCCTGCATCCCAGCCACTCCAGCTGTGACTAAAAGGGACCAAAGTATAGCTTGAGCTGTTGCTTCATAGGGTGGAAGCCCCAAGCCTTGGCAGCTTCCACGTGGTGTTGAGCCTGTGGATGCACAGAAATCAAGAATTGAGGTTTGGGAACATCTGCTTAGATTTCAGAAGATATATGGAAACACCTGGATGCCCATGCAAAAGTTTGCTGCAGAGATGGGGCCCTCATTGATAACCTCTGCTAGGGCAGTGAGGAAGGGAAATGTTGGGTGGGAGCCCCCACACAGAGTCCCTACTGGGGCACCGCCTGGTGGACCTGTGGGAAGAGGGCCACCATCCTCCAGACCTCAGAATGTTAGATCCACCAACAACACCATGTGCCTGGGAAAGCCACAGACACTCAACACCAGCCCACAAAAGCAGCCAGAAGGCAGGCTATATCCCGCAAAGCCACAGGGGCAGAGCTGCCCAATACCATGGGAACCCACCTCTTGCATCTGCATGATCAGGATGTGAGACATGGAGTCAAAGGAGATCATTTTGGAGCTTTAAGATTTGGCTGCCCCTCTGGATTTCGGACTTGCATGGGGTTAAGAAATGAAAAGCATAAAAATTGAAAAGTGAAAAGAAAAAATATTTTTATTCACAGAACATATATATGTATATTGTATATGAAGAAAATCCTAATATATTTATTTAAAAAGCTGTGAATAATAAGAATCAAATTCAATAATGGTGCAGAATGTGTAGAATGCAAGGTCAATACACAAAATATAATATGGAAAATTAATGGAATTTCTAAATACTAGAAATAAACAATTGAGAATACATTTAAAAGTAAAATTTTAATGGTATAAAAATAGTTAAGAATAATTTAAGTGAAACCTTTAAAAATCTTTCACACTAAAACTTTTTAAAATTTCTTGTAGAGAAACATTACAGAAGACTTAAATAAATGTAAAGATCTACCATGTTCATAGATTTGAAGATGCAACATTGATGTGAATTCTCTGGAAGTTAATCTTTAGAATCAATGCAGTAGCGGCTGGGCGCGGTTGCTCATGCCTGTAATCCCAGCACTTTGGGAGGCCAAGGTGGGCGGATCACAAGGTCAGGAGATCAAGACTATACTGGCTAACACGATAAAACCCTGTCTCTACTAAAAAAAAAAAATACAAAAAAATTAGCCAGGCATGGTGGCACGGGCCTGTAGTCCCAGCTACTCAGGAGGCTGAGGCAGGATAATTGCTTGAATCTGGGAGGCTGAGGTTGCAGTGAGCCAAGATTGTGCCACTGCACTCCAACCTGGGTGACAAGGTGAGATTCTGTCTCAAAAAAAAAAAAAAAAAAAAGCATCAATGCAATCTATAGTTTGTAGTTTATTGACTACAATGAATTCTATATCTATTTACTACAACTCTGTAGTAAATTGTGGCAAACATTTTGAGAGAAATTCACAAGCTGTTTCCAAAATTTGTTTGGAAAATTCACAGGACCTAGAATTTTGAGAAAAAAATAGAGCCAATTTTCAGACATCTAAGAAAGCTGCAGTATCAAAGCATCATAACACAAAAATAATAAGGATAAAGAAGGGTTCAAAATTAGACCTCCACCTATGCAGTAAATTAAATGTTTATAAGGGCATGTAGATAATTCAGTGGGGAAAGTAAGTCTTTAACAAAGGCTTTTGAAATAAATGCATTCTCATATTAAAAAAATACATGCATCAGTCCTTTGTATACACAAAACTAGTCCAATATTTTTAATGTAGGCATAAAAATGAAAAAGCAAAATTCAGAAAGCTTTTAAAAGAAAAAAATTAAACAATATCTGCGAGCTATTATAATAGGAAAAATATTTCTGAACAGAGAAAGCACTATCATAAGAGTAAAAATTGATAAATTGTAGATATTAATTAAAAATGTATCCTAATAAAACTGCAAAATGTAAGAAAATATAATTTTAAGCCATAGACTGTGATAAATGTATGAGAAAAAAATTGCGTGTTCAAAACGCACAGAGTACTCCTGAGATCCACTAAATAGTTATAAGAATCTTGAACAGGTATTTCACAAAACAAGAGATACAAGTGGCTTATAAGAATGTGAAAAGATGCTCAGTGTTATTAGATAAGGGGAAATGCAACCAAAATGCATCGAAACTGGAAAGACTACCATTTAAAATGATAATACTAATATTGGCAAATATGTGGGGAAACTAGAAGTCGTGTCTATTTCTTGTGAGAGTGTAAAATAGAACAACTGGCTGGGCGCGGTGGCTCATGCCTGTAATCCCAGCACTTTGGGGGGCCGAGGCGGGCGGATCACGGGGTCATGAGATCGAGACTATCCTGGCTAACATGGTGAAACCCCGTCTCTACTAAAAATACAAAAAAAAAAAAAAAAAATTAGCCGGGTATGGTGGCGGGCGCCTGTAGTCCCAACTAATCAGGAAGCTGAGGCAGGAGAATGGCGTGAACCTGAGAAGTGGAGCTTGCGGTGAGCCCAGATCACGCCAGTGCACTCCAGCCCAGACGGCAGCGCAAGACTGTGTCTCAAAAAAAAAAAAAGTGGAACAACCGCTTTGAAAAATAATTCGCTTCTCAATAAGGCCAACATACATCTACCCTATAGCACAGCAATTTCAATTCTAGAAATTTATCCAACAAAAATAAAAGCATATATTTACACAAAAACCTGTTTGAGAATGCACCTAAGTCCTTTATTTGTAAAAGCTAATTCTGAAAGCAATCTGAATATTCACTAACAGACTAATGAATAAGCAAACTCTGACAAATACGTAGGCAACTCAGAAATATGAGGAAAAATAAAAAAATGATACACACAAATATTTGGCTAAATCTCAAATATTTATTTATGCTAAAGAAAATAAACCAGATACACACTCACACACACATCCTGTAGGAATTCTAATTATTGGAATTTGAAGATGAACAAAATTAATCAATCATGATAGAAATTATAAGGGTTTAATCTGAGTTATTTGGGATGCTGAAGCCGGAGAATCGCTTGAACCCGGGAGGCGGAGGTTGCAGTGACCTCACATTGTACCACTGCACTCTAGCCTGGGTAACAGAGTAAGACTACGTCTTAAAACAAACAAACAAACCAAAGAAATTATACAGGTTTGCCTCTGAAGAAGAGAAGAGAAGTTTGAATAAGCACAATAGTATTTTCTAGATTTAGTGTAATTAGCTAAATATATCAATTTATAAAAAGTATGAAACCACATTTTTGACACGTTTATTATATTTAAAATATAGCGCAATAAAATAAGGTTAGGAAATGATTGCATATTAATCTCTGAGAGGAAGAATGTTATCTGTTGGTAGAATTAATAAAGTTACTCATTTCTTATAAGAAGTAAAGATATATTGGCCGGGTGCGGTGGCTCGCGCCTATAATCCCAGCACTTTGGGAGGCTGCGGCAGGCGGATCACAATGTCAAGAGATTGAGACCATCCTGGCTAACACGGTGAAACCCTATCGCTACTAAAAATACAAAAAATAAGACGGGCGTGGTGGCGGGCACCTGTTGTCCCAGCTATTCAGGAGGCTGAGGTAGGAGGACAGCGTGAACTTGGGAGGCAGAGCTTGCAGTGAGCCGAGATCATGTCACTGCACTCCAACCTGGGCTGCAGAGTGAGACTCCGTCTCAAAAAAAAAGAAAAAAGAAGTAAAGATATATCTATTAACCTGTATAGGTATATATAAGCTAAAAACAACCATTCAACTTTTGTGGGCATAGTAGTCTGTGTCAGGCATTTTTGTATAAATCATAAACATTTAATTCTCATTCAAATAATAAATATATTATCTCACGGTTATAAAGGTATAATAAGTACAATTTTAAAAAATAGACAAACTTTTCTGAATATTTCCAGTACAGTGGTATATCATTTTTTTCCGATAGAATAAATAGAAAAATACTCAAACTGTGGGTAATATTTTGCAGAAAATGAATTAGTTACACTTATTCAAGTTGAATTATTCTAGTTCCTCAATTTTATATTCCAGAAAAATATATGCTGACTATATTTTTAATGCTTTTTTTTATTAGAGAAGTTTGTTTATTGATATGTGCATCGCTTTTACTAATTCAGTTTTGAGCAAGGTGTGACTCTTTATTCAATTTTCCAAAGAGTTCCAAACCAAAACTTGTGGATTTCCAGTTGATCTGTATATCACCTTGCCACCTCTGGCTTTTTTCTCTCTAATACAGGTATAAGAATAACATTTAACAATAAATGATTTGTGAAGCCAGTTCAAAAATGTTCATGCTATATTAATCAACTTGATAAAATGCATTAAATTTATGAATTTCTACAGGTTTGTTAGTGCCTGGAATCTGTAGGTAGAGACACCCATAAAAAAGTCTTATAATATAAGCTATATAACTTAGTGAAAAATCAATAAGGCATACTAATGTTTGCATAGGATGAAAACCTGGTCATATTAATTTTTCTGAGAAAATAATCTCAAATGAAAAATCACTTCCCTAAAGCATTATTTGTTTTTATATCAGATTTATTTCAGTTCAACCAACATTGCACGCTCTAAGTATTAGATATTGTGATTGGTCCTGGGAATGCTAAGATAAAAATTTCTCCTTTTCTAACCTTGAATTCACAGAGAGGTAGAAGCAAGAGAAGCATAAACATATAATTTCAATGCAATATGGTAAGTAAAATGATAGTGGTACTTTTTCTGAATTTTCAGATATCAATTATTTATTTATAAACAGTTCTTTAGAGGGTGATTTATTTTCTCTATAGATGTCAACAAGATACACTTGCCTTGTATGGCAAAAATAAATTAATTTTAGCTTTGTGCAGATACATCCTATTGAGTTACAAAGTGATGCTATCAAACACCATTGACAACAACAAATTCAGGATTTATGGCTTTCTTTGTCTCTGTTTCTCTCTCCTTCTCTCTCTCTCTCTCTCTCTCTCTCTCTGTGTATATATATACATATATGTATATTATACATATATAGTTTAGGATACATGTGTATTTATATATAATTTTATTTTTTAGAACAAAATTAAACATAAAGTGTCTTTAAATGAAAGTCTGTGTTTGTAACACAATCTTATGACATCAGCATTAAAAAGGCTATTCAGAACACTTCCTCAAATTGAAACTATTACCAATACTGAGTTAAATATTTTAGGACTACTTCATTATCTAGGAAATTTGAGAAGCAAATTAACTCTTTGCTCAGAGTATTGTGATACCATATCTTTTCTTGTAAAATAAGATATTGTTTAATTATAAAATATTGTCAAATTTCTGAAAAAGTGTTTATATAAGTGTTAGGAATATGTTAGCCCTGGGAGCCATGTGTTACTTATCATTGTACAGATCTTCTTGCTGACACAACTGGGTATGGTAGACGGCCTGATATGATTAACTGCAAGTAAAGCAGAAATTATTAAAAACAATATTGAGGCCAGGCAAGGTGGCTCATGCCTGTAGTTCCAGCACTTTGGGAGGTCGAGGCAGGTGGATCACGAGGTCAGGCATTCAAGACTAGCCTGACCAAGACAGTGAAACCCCGTCTTTACTAAAAATACAAAATTAGGTGGGCATGGTGGTGGGTTCCTGTAATCCCAGGCTGAGGAAGATAATTGCTTGAACCCAGAAGGTGGAGGTGGAGGTTGCAGTGAGTCGAGATCACACCACCGCACTCTAGCCTGGGTGACAGAGTAAGACAACGTCTCAAAAACAAAAACAAAAACAAAACAAACAAACAAACTAAATTAACTGGATGTTAAATGTGGTTTCTTTACATTTACCAGAATTTCTGCCAAGGTCCTAATGGCCCCAAATAATAGGTGCTACATTATCAAGCAGATATATCAAGAGATTGTGATAATGTTAATGAAACCCCTTTGCTCATCACTCATTTCCAAAATTTATATTTTCAAAGGGAATTTTGTACAGAGTTCCTAAAAAAAGGGATCATGATGCCAGTGTATTGCCTCACTGATTGCTAAATGAAGAGGACTATACTGAAGCATTCAAAGAACGTGATGTGCCTCTGGGGCAACTGAAGGATTGCTATCTGACTTATGCATTTAAAACCTTCAAAGTGGAAGTTTGTCTGGAATGGCTTAGGCAAACAGACTGGGTTGGATTGAGAATTGAATGTATACATAAAATTTGGTTTGGTCAGATGAGTACACCAAATGTGGTAGCTAGCTCACCTTTATTTATGAGATTTTTATTGGGTTGATTTGTCTTGAAAGAATCAAATCTAAGAGAAATGTTTGGAATGGCTAGATGATCCTAACAGAAGAAATCTTACAGGTCTTTACTGCTAAACCTAAGGAGATGAGAGTAAACAGTAAGTGGCCAACTCAAAGAAGCATGGACTATGTTGAAACATGGACTATAGCTGCAATTTCCCAGTGGTGCAGTTTTCAAGCGTTTTACCCCAGGAGAGAAAAAAATAAATAAATGAAAAGTAGCCATTTCACCATTCAGAGGATACTGTTGCCCAGTGAAAACTGCATGAATTATGTAATAGTTTTATGCTTGTTTCCCCCACTCACCATTCCAAAACTGTAAGACTTCAAGATAGAACAGGAGGTATGAAATTTTAACAGCACATAAAAAAATAGTGAACATTCTATCCCCGCACTTCATTGCCATTACTAAGGCTAAGGCAGGACTGAGTTTAGAATGCAGCAAAGCTTTGAAATGTATAAGAGATAATATCTCTAATATTCAAATACACCATAAACTCAAAACTTAGAATCAATCCTATTTTTAAAATACTGAATGTGACAAGAAACGTTATAAAAGTTTTCAAGATATCAGTATATGATAGAAAGAGATGTATTGCTTTAGCACAAATCATTCTACAAAAAAAAAATTCTTCTAAAATAAATTACTTATCCATATCCTACAAATTTTCTTTTTTCTTTTTCTTTCTTTTTTTTTTTTTTTTTTTTTTTTTTTTGAGACAGAGTTTCACTCTTGTTGCCCAGGCTGTAGTGCAGTGGCTTGATCTCAGCTTACTGCAAACTCTGCCTCCCGGGTTCAAGCAATTCTCCTGCCTCGGCCTCCCAAGTAGCTGGGATTACAGGTGCCAGCCACCATGCCCAGCTATTTTTTTGTATTTTTAGCAGAGATGGGGTTTCACCGTGTTGGCCAGGCTGGTCTTGGATGCCTGACTTCAGCTGATCCACCGGCCTTGGCCTCCCGAAATGCTGGGATTGCAGGCATGAGTTGCCGTGCCCAGCCACAAATTTTCTTTTACCTTGGAAAACATATATGCAAATATACTTGTCAACTATCCGACAAAGGTCTTTGGTATGTATGTATGGATTCATTGAACTTTGTTTCTTTTTACCTAATGAATATTTTATGATTTTTAGCTTTGGTTTTTTGAAATGAACCAATAAATTGAAGAGACACAAGAAGTAATATGTGTGTAAATACCAGCACGCTTAGCCCCTCAAATAAACCTCTTACAGGTGTCTGACTCCTCAATCCAATTTGATATTTTTTCAGAACTTGTCTTTATCAATTATTTACATTCTGCTTCATTTTCTGATTTGTTTTTTTTACTTTCACACTCACTTATCATTTTTTTACACAATAGTTGTTTACTACAGTAACAATTATATCTGACATAAATGTACTGAGGAACAAAACAACCATCTTATGGCATACAAATTAGCAGTGGGAGAAGGCTAACCCCAAACATATGCCAAGCCAGGAGCCAGGAAATCCAGGGATGTGGTTAGGCAGAAACTGGGAAGACACTTTATAGCGATTCCTATCTTTGTTACAGACATGAAGGAGATAAATTATAATATGAAAAAATGGCCCTCGCAGTTCTAAAGAGATTAACTAAAAGTCTAGTACCTTTTAAAGATCTGAATAGGAAACACTTGTCATTTATTGTCTCTAAGGGCAGCCACTGTAAGACTTCAAAAGAACCTTGGTCTCCACAGTCTTTTATCTTAACCTGAACATTCCCTTTCTATCATTCCCAGGTCTTGAATCAAACTCAACCAATTATCAACCAGAAAATGTTTAAATTCACCTATAGCCTGGAACCAACCCCCAAACCCCAATACCCTCCCATCCCCCAACCCCCCTGCCAGCCCCAACCCCTCCCACCCCCACTCCCTCTGCTTTGAGTTGTCCCACCTTTCTGGATCAAACTGATGTATTTCTTAAGTGTAGTTAATTGATGTCTCATGCCTCTCTAAAATGTATAAAAGCAAGCTGCATCCCAACCACCTTGGGCACATGTTCTCAGGACCTCCTGAGTGCTGTGTCACTGGCCATGGTTACTCATATTTGGCTTAGAATAAATCTCTTCAAATATATTTTTTTAAAGAAGAAAGAAAAAGGAAAAACAAATGCTTTTGCAGAAGCCAAGAAGAAAGTGAAGGGAAATAAATGAGAGTGGAAAAACGAGAGATCAATTGTGGTGAGATATGCTTTTTTTGGCAATTAATTGCAACAAGTGCCCAAAATGCCAATTATAACATAGTTTGCTATCTACCATTGCTTTATTTAACTGAAGTATTCAACCATAGATATGGAAAAAAGACTGACCTAGTTTAGAAAAGTTCTATCCTGATACATTTAAGCACTAGAGAGTATACACAAATAAAAACACAAACTTAACTTTTCTTAAAAACTTTTACTGAGTCAAATATTAAAAGAGAACACTTGTTTGTAAAGCATCTCATGAAGTTGATTTTTGATTTTTCAGTCCTTCAGTAACTAATAATCTTTATTTTGACATTGATGGTTATCCAATGGAAGAATAACTGCAAGATATTAATAATAGAAATCATTTGCATCAGCCGGGTACAGTGGCTCACTCCTGTAATCCCAGAACACTGGGAGGCCAAGGTGGGCAGATCACTTCAGCCCACGAGTTGGAGACCAGCCTGGGCAATGTGGCAAAACCTTGTTTCTACTAAAGATACAAAAATTAGCTGGGCATGGCGGCATGTGCCTGTAGTCCCAGTTACTCAGGAGGCTGAGATGGGAGGATTGCATGAGCACACTGCACTTCAGCCTGGGCAACATAGTAAGATCCTGTCACACAAAAAAAAAACCATTTGTGTCAAATGATTTTTGTATCAAAGCTTTCAGAAAAAGGAGTGGAAAGAAAATTTAAAAAGCTTTTGTCCATCATTCTTAGATGTCATATTCAAGTAAATATTTCTTCAGACTTAATAAAAAAAATTGAACAATAATAACAAGTGTGATTGTATTTCCATTAACCTGAAATTTACTGCTATTTCAAATTCTACTCAATTTAGAGTTTTTAAGATTAAAAACAAGAAATATTAAATAGAAGTTACAATATTTTTGAAGTAATTGGTGAGAATTTGTTTAATAATGCCTACGTGTTTGGTAATTTGATCTTAGTTCTACAAATTTCACTATCACAAACTCTTCCCTGTCCGTTACCTCAGCTACAAGATTTAACAGGCTGTCAATGACAACTATGTCACATATGGTAGTGCCCTTTGCTTTAATGAGGGTGATTAGCTACAATTGATGTTCATTGCCTTAGTACAGATATACTATATTTAGATATATTTAACTCTATTACACATACTGCAAACACATACTCTTGTTGTCTTCTACACTATTATATATTTTACTTGTTATAGTAGATATTTATTTTAGATGAATAACTAAGTATAATAAAATAGATAGCAGAGGAATTAATTATCTCACATGGATATCATTTCACCTGATCTTGATGAACAAGGAAATGGGTGATTTACCCAGGAATAAATATAAAGTTCTGTATGGTTTGGAAAGCACAAATGGTCACCTAATTTTGAAACACTTTAGGTAAATTCCCATTCAGAAAAACATTTATCACTTATATAACTAATGAAATGCTTAGGGGAAAGTGTTTTGGCTGTCAAAGAACCATACTTTGCTTTTAGAGACTATGTTTGTATTTGAATATTTCATAAAAACTATTTCTAAGCCAAGGAAAAAAAAAAACTAAATAAACAGGCAAAGATCTATTATTGAAAGTGAAATATTTACATATAACCGTAGTTAGAAAAGAAGTGGAAATCAGTATGTGATTTCAGATGATTGCATATTTTATAACTATTAGGGTTAAAGTGCATTAGAGCTTCCTGTTTGCCAGTTGCTGAGAGGCTTTGATTCAGAGGTAGCATCTGTACAAAAAGATACTGCCATTTTTATGGTAAATGCTTTTTAAATTGAACTAGAAAGTAAATAGTTACACATTTTGAAAAAAATATGAATTTTTAAAAGTCTGTGTTTGAACATCAATAAAGAAACAAACGTAACTATGAATTAAGAGAAATCTAGAAATACTTTATTTAAACAAAAACATTGCAAACATTTATGTCATAATATTTACTTTCTTAAAATAGAAACAAAAGCAGTTGGAGATTTAATTCACTATAAGAAAGAAAAGCTTTTGTACATAATGTTTTCTAAGGTAGTAAATGTAAACCTAAGTAACATGGCATGGAATGAAAATAAATTACTGAGAATGGCTTTGTATTGATTACGTATGTTCTGAAATTTTTCCGTATTGAAACAAATCTACACAGTGGAGGAAAATATGTTCTTAAAACTGGCATCTGATGTGATTAGTGTATTACATACATACAAATTTGCAATAGTCTCTGAAGAGAAAATGAGATTTCTACATTTTCCATTTCCAATTCAGTCCAGTCATTTCGGTGTATTTCTCTGATAGTGTCTCTATTAAAATGTAATTTATTTTATTTTATTTCTATAAATTTATGGAGTGCAACTGTAATTTTGTTACATCCATAGGTTGCATAGTGAAGTCAGGATGTTCAGCATATTCATCACCTAAAAAGCATACCTTGTACTTATTAAGTAATTTCTTATCATTTACTCCCCTCTCACTCTCCCCCAACTCTTCCAAGTCTTCATGTCCAAGTCTCTATCATTGCACACTCTATGTCCATGTGAATGCATTAATTACCTCCCATTGATAAATGAGAACATGCAGTATCTGTCTTTCTGTGTCTGACTTTCATCTAAGATAATGTCCTCCAGTTCCATCCAAACTGCTCCAAAATACATGTTTCATGAGTATATTATTTTTAAAGGCTGAATTGTATTCCACTGTGTATATCATCATATCTTCTTATCTTTAGGTGGAAATCTTTTTTATTATACTTTAAGTTCTGGGGTACATGTGCAGAACTTGCAGGTTTGTTATGTAGGTATACACGTGCCATAGTGGTTTGCTGCACTCATCAACCTGTCATCTACATTAGGTCTTTCTCTAAATGCTATCCCTCCCCTAGCCCCTCACCCTCTGACAGGCTGTGGAGTGTGATGTTCCCCTCCTTGTGTCCATGTATTCTCATTGTTCAGCTCCCACTTATGAGTGAGAGCATGCAGTGTTTGGTTTTCTGTTCTTGTGTTAGCTTGCTGAGAATGATGTTTGCCAGTTTCATTCATGTCCCTGCAAAGGACATGAACTCATCATTTTTTATGGCTGCATAGTATTCCATGATGCATATGTGCCACATTTTCTTTATCCAGTCTATCGTTGGTGGGCATTTGGGTTGGTTCCAAGTCTTTGCTATTGTGAACAGTGCTGCAATAAACATATGTGTGCATGTGTCTTCAGAGTAGGATGATTTATAATCCTTTGGGTATATACCCAGTAATGGGATTGCTGGGTCAAAAGGTCTTTCTAGTTCTAGATCCCTGAAAAATTTCCACACTGTCTTCCACAATGGTTAAACTAATTTACACTCCCACCAACAGTGTAAAAGCATTCCTATTGCTCCACATTCTCTCCAGTATCTGTTGTTTTCTGACTTTTTAGTGATCTCCATTCTAACTGGAGTGAGATGGTACCATCTCACATTTTCTTTATCAAATCATCTATTGGTGGACACTTAGGTTGATTCAGTATCTTTGCTACTGTGAATAGTGCTGGGATAAGTGCTGGTATGTTTATGATATAAGGATTTCAAATAGACTGTAAGAGTGTAAAAAGTTTCCACTGAACTTTGGACTGGAAATATGATAAGAGAAGATCCTTTCACTAATAGAGGTGGAGCATTAAGAGATAAAATCGATAACTAATTTTATGCTGCACTAAACAGGGAAGAAAGAGAAAGTGAATAAAAAGCAAGTTTTGTGGTCGGCCAGGTTTTGGATTACATAACGAAAATAGACAAACATACTTTGTTAAGCATATTGCATAACCTATGCTACTTTCAGCTTATTTATATTCATTTAATCCCTCATTCAACTTAATATAATATCCTCTTTTCCTTCCTGGCTTTCTACCTGCCTGTTCTCATTCATTAACTTGTTTTAGCCAATGAGTCATGAGTAGCTACTCTGTTCAGGCATTGTTCTCAGTTCTAGTGATACAGTAGCATACAATTTTAACAAAATATTGACCTCATGAAGCTACATTTTAGAGGAAGGAACTCAGTGAACAAGTCAACAGAAAAATATAAAATATTTTAGAATACAAATAATTGGTATGAAGGAAAACCAGTCAAATGAGGGGTAAGACATATTCAAGGTAGAGAACAATCTACAATTACACTGAGCCCTGAACAAAGAGAGAAAATAAGCTATACATAAATTTGGGGAAGAACATTTCAGGAAGAGGGAAGTGTACAGGCTCTAATGAAATCAAAAAGCTAGTGTATTCCAAAAAGAGCAAAAAATCATTATGCTTGAAATTGAATTGAATGAGCAATGAGAAGAATAGTAAAAATGAGATCAAACAATAATCTAGAGCTAGATCAGAAAAAAAGTCTAAAAGCTAAAATGAAGGTATGCATCTTATTCTAGAGTGTGAAGAGATCTGATCAGGAGAACTACATGATCTGATTACTATTTCAAAATAAGGATTCTTGATGCTATTTGGAAAATGATGGCCTACTATAATGATAAGAGATTATTTTAAATATGTAGTAATGAGATAAAATTACATGAATGAATGTTTTTATTTATAATGAGCATACCAGTGTGTAGCCTCTTTAGTACTTGTGTACTTGGAAGCAGTTTATTCTCTGAAGATTTTTTTTTATTTCTTCTCTAACTTGTTTATTCTTTTTAAATTTAATGTCAATATAATATGTTTTAACTTTAAAAATTTAGGTGCCTTATGAGTGGAATCTCAGTTAAAAAATGTTATTATTCAGTAGGTACTAAATTGAGTTCCTGTTTTACTTTACAAACCAAGCACCATAGGTTATTACAGAAAACCATTATAAGTCAAATTTTTTAAAAGTTTCTTCAGTGAAGTAGACATTACAAAAGTTATATTTAAACACAACACTATGAACTCAAGTCACAGAGGCAAAGAGAAACTATTGTATTTGCTTTGAGCATCTACACATTGTAAAAAAGGTTATTGAATGCAATTCAAATCTAACTTCATCTGAGGATAACCCCAGGCACTTTGTGCCTGTATTTCTTGTAGTTTTGTACTGACTATTGGAAACTCATTCAGTTTTGCCTTAAAGCACCCAGTAACCTATGAACAAAATGCATAAAAACTATTACATGATGTTCAGCCTTTGTAGACTAAACACAACAGGTATATGCAATTGCATAGTGCTGATGACTCACAAAAACAAAACAAAACAAAACAAAACAAAACAAAACAAAACAAAAAACTCTGTCCTCAGACTGATTTGTGAAAATAACTATTTAATCTAAAAATAAACTAAAGAGTGAAAATGAGAATTAGCAAATAGAGTTGAAGGTGTGTCTCAAAATGGATTGTATTTTATATAGCCTTTTACTATAATTATTCTTATAACAGGGCTTGTTTTCCTCTATTAGACTGCAAATGTGTTGGTTACTGAGGCGGTTGCACTTGTTTTTGTATCACTTATGAAACCTAGTATAGTGCTTTGTATTATAGTAATCATTCATTAGATATTATGTGAATGATTTGAATTATATTTCATAGTAGCTCAAAGTTAGTCTTGATGGATAAATGAATGTAATACAACCATATACATTATTAGTAAGGAACTTAATAATATCATGAAGTATCTTTAACCAAAGTAATAATTAAAAAGTAGGAGTAAACCATAGTAAGTTCAAATTTAGAATTTGATAGATAATGGAGATTACTTTTTAGGCCTAAATATTGAAGGATAGATGTTTATGAAACTTTGAGGTTCAAATTATTTGTAGAAATGTTTATTTAATATTATATTCAAGATATTAAAATGACAACAATAGGAAAATGTATAAGAGATTTGTTAAACACATCCTGAAAGCATGGAAATAACCATATATCTTAGCCTAATGCATGAAATAGTATAGCAAATATAAGCAGGATGTTTTCATTTTTATTTTAAAATTGTGTTTATCACTGGATAGGGATAATAAATTTATTCTATTTATTTTTTGCTGTTAAACATATACTTTAATAAACTAAACACATTTGTTTCTGCAGTGGATGGAAATATGTTTGTCACAGGTAAAATTGTCACTTGGGTAAATTTTATCTCAAGCAACTCCTTTTTAGTTTTAATACTTTCTATGTTGCCCAAATCAAGTCTTATTTCCATGAATCACTGTTTTATGTAATAATTTTCTTGGTGAGGTCAATTTACATAGTTTTGGTACTTTCATGTCAGATTTCTAAGGTAGTATAATTTAGTTTAGAGGAAGAATTTCTACACAGATCATGCAACTGTCTCTTCATTATATATCAGGGTAAAATCTACAAAAAACAAAATTGGTTTGAGAACAAAGCTGTCATTACTTGCAAGATGAAAACAGAAAAATTGCATGTGTTTATTAAAACACAGAAGTATATTCCTGTGCAAATTAATGCAGATTCTGAAGTGAAAGACAGGACTTTTGAGAGATTTTGAGTCCAAGGATTCACCTCTTCAAACACAACTGAAAAAACTCTTTTTTATTTTTAAATCTAATCAGTTTATATATGCCCAGGTCCAGCAAAAAGAAGCTGGGTTGATAATGTGTTTTGCAGTTATTCAAGCTAGTTTGAAAGAGTACCTGGCAGTGATTGTGAAGACCAATGATTGTGCTACTAAGGTCTCTCAATTGCCAGACACCCACCAAGTATTTTTTAAATATGCTATTCTGTTTTGAAACTCAAAACCTTGTATTTTTGTTAATCTAGTTACCTGCCAAATCAAACAGGAATCCAAAGTTTCATAACCCTGCTGTGTTCTCTGGTTACTAGAAATAAGCATATTTTTGATGTTTTAACAACCTTTTAAAATAATAATTTCTAATAATGAAATAGAATATTTCTATTTTAAGTAGCTATTGGGTATATCTTTACATAACTAGATGATTATATTAAATGGGTTTTTTAGATGAATGATGTGCATGGGTAGATATTTTTAAAATGAAATATGTTTTTTCCTTTTTTACTTAAATTTCTTTTTAGAACATACTGTTATGAACATTAACATTTATTCAAGTCCTTGGGACAATTCTTCTTCAGTTACCCAGTAAAATTTTCATGATCTCTGCAAAACATAGATTAGAAATATAAAATAACATAAATTTTAGAATACAGTGAGATGACTTACACAATTTGATAATATTTTATATAATATTTTATGATTAACCAGTTAACTGAAACCTAAAAACCTGTATTAACTGATTAATATTGCAGCAAAAAGTCAGTTCATGTTATTGTATCAATCACTTGTGGATACATGATTATGCTGTCGTGATATGATTTCTAACAATTGTCTTGTCATTTTTAGCTTTTACTATTATAATTTTAATTAAAATATATTAAAGTCACTATGTCATAACAGACTTTATATTGTGCCATGCAGTCCTATTGCTCTTTTGTTTTAAATATCATATAGTCTAAAGCAATGATTCTCATTAAATACATGCATCAAAATCAACTGCAGTTATTACATGCTGACTCAAACTTACAAAATCAAGCTCTCTGTGATCCTGGTTAATACATCTAAGTACTTGAGCCGATAATCCAAGTACTTTGGGGGGTCGAGGTGAGAGGATAGCATGTGGCCAGAAGTTCAAGACCAGCCTGGGCAACATAGCGAGACTCCATCTCCACAAAAAAGTGTTAAAAATTAGCCAGACATGGTGGTGCATGTCTTAGTTCTAACTACTCAGGAGGCTGAGAAAGGAAGATTACTTTAGCCCAGGAGCTCAAAGGTGCAGTGAACTGTGACTGCACTCCAGCCCGTCTAAAAAAAAAAAAAGGAAAAAAAAAAGAAATAAAAAGGTATACACTTTTTTTTCTGAAGTGGATGGAAATATGTCATGTCAGAGGTAAATTGTGACTTGAGTAAGTTTTATGTTGAGCAACTCTTTTTGTTTACGTTTTCTATGTTGCCCAAATAAAGTCTTATTTTCATAAATCACTGCTTTATGAAATCACAACTTTTCCTGCAGCCCTGGGTATGGTGGCACACAGTTGTAGTCCCAGGTACACTGGATGCTGAGGCAAGAGGATCATTTGAACCCAGAACTTGAAGGTCAACCTGGGCAACATAGCAAGATCCTATCTGTAACAAAAATTTTTTTAATGATAATTCTCATGCAAAATTCAGTTTGCACTGTTTTAAAAAATGAAACACTTATAAGAGCATGGTCATAAGGCAATTCTGACTTGGTGTCAAGCCATTTAAACTTAGATATGACCTAGGATTTAGGATCCTTGCTATTGTTTACATAGTAAGTCCACATTTAATATCAGTAGATTATTGGAAACTGCAACTATCAGCAAAATGGTGAACAATGAAACAAATTTTACCATAGGCCAATTGATACAACAAGATATAAGTTCCTACTGCATATTTCTGGTCACAATATTATCACTGTACTTCTAAATGGAGACTAAAACACTTATAACATTCAACACTGAAATAAGTGTGAGGTATACATACATTTTTAAAAAGATTAATAAAAACAAGTAAGATGATTATTTACCCAATTATTCCAGTTCAGAGTCTCGGGTGGCAAGAACCTATTCTTACTCAGCATGCAATGCAGGAATAAACCCTGCACAGGATGCTATTCCATGGCAGGGCACAACCACATTCACTCACATTGGGACACACAGTGGGGAAATGCCAATTAACCAGACATGCACATCTTGGGGATGTGAGAGGAAGCAGGAGTTCCTGGAGAAAACCCATGCAGGCATGGGGAGAACATGCAGACCCTACACAGATGGTAGCCCTGTCCAGGAATCAATATTTATTCTCATCTACATTATAGCAAAACAACATTGAATAAAACAACTTTATTTGAGGACCTGTTTTACTTGTACATCTTTGGGAAAATCTTTCAACTTTTATTACTCATAATGTTCTCAATAAAAGTGTGTTAAGAATACATATTTCAGGAGGTTTTTTGAGACAATCAAATGTGGCAATGCATGCAGAATTAATAGCCCATAAGGCATTTTATACAGTATGTTCTTAGTAATCTACTTTTAATTGATAATTGCTTTATAAAATAATCTGATTACTTTTGGTATAAAGGATAACATATTCCACTAATACTGTGAAGTTTCAGTGATACAAACACTTAGAAATCATCTGCTCTGTTATGGAAAAAAACATCTAGAAGTATCTTTCAGATTGAAAAATGTTTTTAAGGTGCTGGAATAACGGTACCTCTTGCAGATTTGTCTAGCATTACCCAATGCTTGTGATTGCTAGTAATATTAGTGAAATAAGTATGCAAATCTTTTAATAACTGAATAGAATCCTTCCCTGAACAATTTCCCAGGTGTTATTGCTGTTGCTATCTTATTAAATATTCAATGCCATCTATTATATCCTATACAGAGTCAAATAATAAGCTTACATAAACTAATATTTAATATAATACTAATAAATTTAAGATGATATAAAGCAGAATAAAATAACATTTCAGAATAAAAAGACTTTGAAGCTTCCCTGTATTACTTGATAAGATTTAGGTACAGTCTCAAGAAAACATTTTTTTTTCCTTCTTCTGCATCAGCTCATCTACAAACCAATTTATTTCTGAAATAGGCCCCAGGGGCAGGCTGGTTGGTGACTGTAATGGGGGATATCTGACTGGCCACTCAAGGAAATTGCTATGGACTTTTAACCTTATTTTGATTAAGTTCTGTGCAGATTGTGTCTGCCAGGCGAGCACTAAGATTACTGTTTCTGAGATCTTTTGGTTGCTATCAGACTGGACTCAATTTTTTTTCTACATTCTCAAGGTTAAGTTGAAACAGTATTACCCATTATTTATAAATGGTAAGTGTTTAGGTTTTGCCTTGTGTTACAAACTAGAATGTTAATAAAAATACTATATTTAACAAGTTGCAAGTTTATGAAAGTCATTGTTTTTGAAAGTAAGTTTTAGATTAAAAAAAACAAAAGAAAGGAAAAGAAAAATCTTTTAAGGGGAAACAATGTCTTTATGTGTTTAAAGTTTCAAAAGGTAATTTATAAAGAAATCAAATATAGTTAAAAATAACTAATCAAAGATGAATATTTAGTGTAGAGGAACATGGATATGGATAAACTGTAGGGTATTTTATTTATCTTTTTCTTTCAGCAAAGATCTAACTAAAATTAGAGAAATGATGTGTTTTATTCTAGAACCATCATGATACAAACAATAATATGTTGTTTTTCATCTTGTATTGGATAAACACTATTAATCCCATTAATCCATTCCTCTTTGCTTCTTCAATTAAAATTCTGTGTATTATATAAATACCTCCCTCTACCCTCTGCAGTGTAGGAGAATCAGGGAAATCTCATCCCATCTGCCGAAACAGAGATGTATCCTGTATGTACCTTGCCAATGATGGCAACTTCTTTTCCTTTGTCGAGATATAATACAAACCCCAGGTTGACACCATTTAGTTCATGATATCACTTCCAGATTGATATTGGTGGAAAGGTGACTTAATCTGGCTAAATCAGATGCAAGAGATGGACTTGTGTTCTATTATTAGAATATAAATTTCTTGTCTTTCTGTATATGATTAGCAAAGCATGCTGCAACAATTGTTCTTATCAGCAAAGAAAAATTCTGATAAGCACCTGGAAATACGGCACCTGGAAGCCCTCATTCCTCAGGACTTGATAAAAGAATTCATTATTATTAAAGCAAGTTAACAGCCAGGATTACTGTTACTTGTCTTGAAAGCATGCTGACATCTCCATTGTTCCACATGCCTTGTCAGAATGATCTCTGGCTTAGGGAAAACTTTTCAGCTATCTGCTCTAGCACACTGGTGTGAAAGATGTGTTAAGGGAGAGGTGATAGCTTGATCCTTAGTGCTGTCAGACATCAGGTGGGTCTTAGATAGCTCGAATCATCAGGTCACTTTTTTCAGCCATGAGTAGTATGCTCTACAGCAGTTATTAATTTATATAAATGCTGTAGATTTAAAAATGGTAGTGAAGTGCTAATTCAGAGTATCTGATTTATAATTCAGAGCAATTCAATGGGTCATAGTTAAGTTGGCAGAAGTATTCTAGTTATCTCTCCAAATATAATAATTTTAAATATTGTTCACACAAGGAAAAAACCTAACATCTTTCTCCATATCCTTAAAACTCCAGATATGAATTTGATCATGCAGTGCTTGTCTTTCTGTGCCTGGCTTATTTCACTTAACAAAGTGTCCTCCAACTTCATCCACATTGCTAAAAATAACAGCATTTTATGGCTGAATATTGTTCTGGAGGGGTGGATAGATAGATGATAAATAGATAGATGATAGATAGATAGATAGATAGATAGATAGATAGATAGATAGATATACATTTATACACCACATTTTCTTTATCCATTTGTTGTTAGATGAGCATTTAGGCAGATTCCATATCACGGCTATTTTGAATGATGCTTCAATATCCCTGGGTGCAGATGTCTCTTTGACATACTAATTTCATTTTTTTTGATTACGTACCCAGTAGTGGGATTGCTGGGTAATATAATAGTTCTCTTTTTTATTTTTTGTGGAAACTCCATACTGCTTTTCATAACAGCTATACTATTTTAAATTCCCACCAACAGTGTGTAACATTCCTCTTTCTCCACATTATCGTTTCCATTTGTTATATTTTGTCTTCTTGATAATATCCATCATTTAAACTGGGATAAGGTAATAGCTCATTGCGGTTTTGTTTTGCATTTTTCTGAGGCTTAATGATGTTGAGCATTTCTTTATATATTTTTTGGCCATTTGTATGTCTTCTTTTGTCCATTTTTTAATCAACTTTTTCTTTTGCTATTGAGTTTTTTGAGTTCCTTATATATTCTGGATATCAAACCTTGTTGAATACATAGTTTGCAAACACCTTATCCTGTTCTGTAATTGTCTCTTCGTTTTATTGATTGATAAGAAGTAGGTTAATTGTGCTATATAAGTGCAAACTTTGTCTAAAGGAGAATATGTGTTCTTTGAAGACAAATGTCCATTTGTCAAGCCCCCCAGTACTTTCTTTTATGTAGGAATGCCAATATAGGACCTTTCCGTTTTGAAGCTGTTTGTGAGTAGATTTTTCTCTTCCCACCAACTGGAGGCTAAAATGTAAACCAGAGACCCAAGAATAGCCACTCATTCCTTGCATTTTTAACCTTGCAAGGTAAGAAGTAGGCAGAGAGTCTGAAATTATTCCTGTCAGATGGATAGATTTTTTGAATCCAATGGTAAAGTGGGAAGTGACAAGCTAAAGCAGAGCCCAGCAGCATTCCAGAAAATGCCTGTGCATGCTTTGCTGGCAGTGGCCAGCGGTCATGACTGACAGGACAATAGCCACATGAAAAGCAGAACTTCCTTTTTCTGATATTGGTTCTGACTTGCTCTCTGATTCCTGCCTGAGGCTGGTTCACCTACTTTTTTTTTCAATTCTAAGAGCTGCATTGTGCTTTTCCAACGCATTCATTTTTGCTTGCTTTAAATTCCAAGTAATTTCTATTGTCTTTAAACAACTGCCTACCTAAAATAATTATTAAATATATAGCTAAAACACTAAATTAAATAAACTTACATTGTTTTCCTTGCTGTAAGAATTCTCTAAGCCTTTCTTATTTTAATATGCATCATGAACCTCCAGTTGAGGCAATGTGCAACACATTTTGAGAGACATGATCTACCTGTTGGAATCTTAACATTTAGAACAGATATATTGATCAGTGTATAATTTTTGGATTATCAAAGATGGGAATAAAATTGAGCTATAATATATAAAATAAGAGGATTTATATATGTTTGTTTTTTTACTCCCCATCTCACCTGCTACTTCTTTATGGATAACAGTTATCCCACTTGATGGAATTTTTCTCTTTTCATCCATTACTTTTTTATTTAAAGTATTCCCTCTCCTAGGATGTA
This sequence comes from Homo sapiens, assembly GCF_000001405.40. Taxonomy (NCBI): domain Eukaryota; kingdom Metazoa; phylum Chordata; class Mammalia; order Primates; family Hominidae; genus Homo; species Homo sapiens. The sequence continues at coordinate 40,066,998 of NC_000009.12, read as the reverse complement.
AGTTTCTATAGACTGAAATGTTGTTATTTAATGGTAATAAGCCTTATTTTCAGGCTGCTTTACAGAATTTTGGCTTTGTCTTTTGTTTTCTTCATTGTACTTTTCTTACTCCACTCAGAATTTGTTGACCTTCTTAAATCTGCTTATATCTGTCTTCAATCAGTACTAAAAACATTCTCTATTATTTCCTTAGTTATTGCCTTTGTCTCTCTTTTCCTGGTAAAGTTTAGACATATATTAACATTTAACTTTATCCTTTGTATCTTGAAACTTTTCTTCAATAATTTATTTTCTTTCTTCCTACTGCACTTCGTTAATTTTCTAGTAGTTCTCTGTTACTTCTAGCAGGTATTTCCTTTCTAAATCTACCATGATCATATTTGTATTTTCCTATGTGCATCTTTAAGCCTATGTTTTGTTCTTTAACTTCTGTCTGATAATTCTATTATTTAAATTGTTTTTCTTGTCTGTCGATTTGTTTCTGGATGTTGTTATCCTTAACAATATACTGATTCTTCTCTGTGTATGTGTGTCTCTCTCTCCATGTCTCTCTAAACACATGCATACAAACTCTCTCTCTCTCTCTCATGTATGCTATATTGCATACAAATGATTTACCAAAATAATTGACTTTATTTTTAATATAGACCTACAAGTTAGTTACTTTCATATTCACGTTACAGTTGAGGAAACTGAGACTCAAAGGGAAAAATTACTTGGCCAAGTTTATACACCCAATTAGTGTCAGGATAGTTTAAGATTACCTTGTTGTCTACTATGGAGGTAAGTTCCTCCAGAAGTTTTGCTTATGCAAGCATTACCCATATCAGATCATCTTAAATCAGGGTGAAAATATGAGTATCTGAACAACTCAGATTTGGTCCCAGACTTCAAGTATGCTCAAGAGCTGGTTCTTGTTTTCTCCTTCATTGGAGTGTATTAACCTTATGATTCTAGCTTAGAATAGCAAAAGTCTCTGGGCAGACTCTCTATATTTTGTCAGCCATAGACTATAATTTCTTTTTCATCTGAGAATTCTATCTGAATAAAAGTTAACTTGGCTTGCAAGGAAAAGTTCCCCAAATTCAGTGACAGTTTTCCTCTTTGAGCTCCCATCTTCTTTAACTCTTATCATGTTTTTCTGGTAGCTCTGTTCTGCTTCTTCGTTTGACTTCCATTGAATTGGGTAACTTTTTTTTCCTCTTCCCGATGTACATAAATGACTTAAAGTATATCAATATCACTATATTCTCTATAACACACAAATAACTAGCATAAATACGTTGCATTTAGACAGTATAGTCTAAATACAAGTTCCCTGTCCTATTTTGTAGGTCTTTGAATGTTGTTTAAAAAAAATGCAACTAAGACATGTTAAATTTCACTAAGTTTATTTGACCAAGAAAAAGGTTTGAGAAGTAGGCACCATCCCAGAACAAAGATTGTTCAGAGTGACTCCACATCCAGAGTGGTGAGATGTATTTATAACCAGAACATATACAATTATATTCAGAGTTTCCCTGATTGGTGCAGTTCAATATTTGCCTTATTTGGGCATAATTTGGCAGCATTCAGCCTAGGATTGACTAAGGGTTTGGCTCCTATGATTGGTTGAGTCTCAGTTGCTTGGTTACAAGTCCATATATCTACATTAGCTTACAACTTATCTACACATTAAGTTAGAGTACAGTCACTATGTATGGATGCCGCTTTGGGCCAAACTTAATTAGGCAAGTACAATGGGCACTTTGAGCCAAACTTAACTCAGCTTAACGATGTTCTCTAGTATTTGTTTTACTTTATTGTATTTGTTTGATTCAATATAGCAAATGCTTCTTTAGACTTACCCACATGTTTATATATATATTACTGTTTTGCCTCCATTGAACATGCCTTCTACTTCCTAATTTGTGCCAGAATTGACTAGTAGACGCTATGAATGCATCATGCTCTTTGGCCCATTTCGAACACTCAGGTATGTCTGTACTCTTAGTTCATCTATTCATCATTGTTTCTACAGTTCCCTCATGCTTTAAAAAATATATGGCTTTTATAATTTATCCAGCTTTTTCTTGTCATTTTAATAAGAGTATGTGTCTTATACAACTACTACATTCATCCCAGAAGTAGAAGCAAACTATTATAATCCCATTATTTTTATTCCTACTATTCTCTTTTCAGAATTTCTTTTAGATATTCCTTGGATAGTTTTATTCAATCCTCCATGGCTTTCAGCTTATCTTATGTTCTATCTTTTGGTTCATATTCTGCATTCTGGATAATTCTTCATCTTCACTTTCTAGTTTGTTGATATTCCTTTTGGTGACTATAAGCTGCTCTTTAAAATGGTCAATAATGCCTAAGATGTTTATTATCTTGCCCTTTGCAGAAAAAAATTTTCAGCTTTTGCTCTGGAATGATTTTGCATCTCTTCCACCCAACTTCCAGTGTATCAATGGCCAGAAAATAATCTATATGTTAATTTGTTAATTTGATGGTTCATGGTTCAAGGCTGTACAATTTAAAAATTTGAAGTCAAACAACACATGATGGATAATCCTGATGTTACAGATTCTCAGGGGAGAATATGTATTTGTTTTTTCTACCAATTGTTCTAGTATTTACAGACAAACTTCTTAATTATACTGGGTTGGTTAATAAGTATTTTTCTTTACTCTTTCAATCTAGGTCCAGCTATGCATCACCCCTTCGCTGATGAGCATTAAGAAAATCCAAATTTGGCCGGGCGCGGTGGCTCACGCTTGTAATCCCAGCACTTTGGGAGGCCGAGGCGGGTGGATCACGAGGTCAGGAGATCGAGACCATCCTGGCTAACACGGTGAAACCCCGTCTCTACTAAAAATACAAAAAAAAATTAGCCGGGCGTGATGGCGGGCGCCTGTAGTCCCAGCTACTCGAGAGGCTGAGGCAGGAGAATGGCGTCAACCCGGGAGGCGGAGCTTGCAGTGAGCCGAGATTGCGCCACTGCAGTCCCGCCTGGGCCACAGAGCGAGACTCCGTCTCAAAAAAAAAAAAAAAAAAAAAAAAATCCAAATTTATAAATTGCTGGGTCCATCTCTCTTGCCATCCAGAAAAGTCAGAGCAACTGGTCTTGCTGGTTTTAAGTGTTGCCTGTGTTTCTGGCATTGGTAAGTTTCTTTGTTTTCCTGTAGTTTTAGGTATACATATATAATGACATCTCCAAAATTCATCAATATTAGCATTTGTTATGAAGATTTTTCAGGCAACTGGCTTACCATATGGCCTAAATCTGATTCTAAAGTCCACGTTTCACTTTCTCAAATATAAAAACTGTTTGCTAATAAGCACTAGAAAAATATTTCAAAGAAGAACATTTTGATAAATATGATTATACGATATTCACTGCAGTAAATAACCGTTGCATACTCAAAGGAGTTTCATTTGCATATATAACATGAGATGAAAACCAATGATAAATGGTGACTTTTAATAAAATAGATCAGAAATAGTATCTTGGCAAATAACCTGATGCGAGAATAATTATCCCTCTAATTAGTAAAATTCAATAAGAAGGTAGAATTTTCATTTACATGTGATCAAATAACTTTTTTTACAATACCTTTGCCTTTTGAATTCTTTAATAAAATACATCAGAAATAGTGTCTTGAACAAACAATCTGATGTGACAATAAGTTCCCCTCTAGTAAAATTCAGTGAGAGTGTAGGATTCTCATTTACATGAGATCGAATACCTTTTTTTTTACAGTACCTTTTGCCTTTTGAATTCTTTATTGTTTTCATTTAAGAAATGTGGAAATCTGAAACAAACTATATTCTCAATCATGTTAGAAAAAGTATATGTAATATGTATTTTTTAAAGTCCAGTGGCTGAGAACTTAGACTGGGTTTTGAAATAATAATTTCCTAACACAGTTTCTCAGTATGTTTCCTCTAGACAAGAGAAAACTCTGTAATTATGATTCTTAATTTACCCTGGTAATTTCATAAGAAAAATGATTAATTACTTTGAGCAATCAGTTATACAGATAATCATGGTTCTTTATTTAAACCACAAAAAATAGAAAGAAAGCAGAGAAGCTTAAGCATAAAATATAAAGAAAAATTCAGTCATTTAGTAAAAATGAAATCAGTGTTAAAATATTTCTTTTGACACAGTCAGCTAACATCTTTCTATTTTTGCTGAGTAACTATTAATTATATTTTAAGTTCAACTAACTCTTGACACAGCAATGGAATTTGAAGTGAATATACTACTTTGAAAAATAAATGGTGTATTTAGAGTGTTGACATTTAGAAAATGGTAGTTTTGTGAAATTTGCAATGTGTTTTAGAATTATAAATGCTAAAGTAAATGAATGCATGATTATATTTAATAGAATAAAAACAGAAGAATTTTTTAAGTCTTGACGACCTAAGGCAGGGTTCTGTTTTAAGTATTCCCCTTTCAATCAACGTTACAGCTATCCTAACTTAAAACTGCTTCAACTAATAATGTGTATTTATATTAAAAATGTAATCCATGGCTCTGAACCCTGGCTTCCTAGTAGAATCACATGGCAAGATTTTAAGTAATACTCATTTCTTGGCTCTACTAAAGTCCAATTAAAACAGAACTTCAGTTTTTAGAAAGAGGTGTGGGTAGTTTGAAATGTTCCACATTATTCTAAGATGTGGGTGAGATTAAGAACCAGTAAGCACACCAGTCAGAACGGCTATTATTAAAAAGTCAAAAAATAGCAGGTGCTGGTAAGGTTGCAGAGAAAAAGGAACACTATACACTGTTAAAGGGAATGTAAATTAATTCAGCCATTGTGGAAAACAGTGTGGTGATTCCTCAAAGACCTAAAAACAGAACTACCATTAGACCCAGCAATCCCATTACTGGGTATATATCCAAAGGAATATACATTGTTCTATTATAAAGACACACGCACACATATGTTCACTGCAGCACTATTCACATTAACAAAGACATGGAATAGACCTAAATGGCCATCAATAGTAAAGACTGGATAAATAAAATGTTGAACATATACACCAGGGAATAAGATGTAGCCATAAAAAGGAATGAGATCATGTGTTCTGAAGGAATATGGATGGAATTGAAGGCCATTATCCTTAGCAAATGAATGTAGGAACGAAAAAACAAATGCCACATTCTCTCACTTGTAAGTGCAAGCTAAATGATGAGAACACATGCACACAAAGAAGGGAACAACAGACACCGGGGCCTGCAAGAGGGCAGAAGGTCGGGGGAGGGAGACCATCTGGAAAAATAACTAATGAGTCATAGGCTTAATGCCTGGGTAATGAATTAATCTGTAAAACAAACCCCCATGATGCAAATGTATTTATATAACAAACCTGCACATGTACCCCTGAAATTAAAGGTTAAAAAAAAGAAACAGGGAGCATTGCTAGGCTATATTGAGTAAGCTCCAACTGTGCATACTTAAACCTAGAAAATGCCTAAAATATAGATAGTAAAAAATATGCACAAGAGTGACATAAAACAAGAATTCAGATATAGCAGTTGTTTTTATTTGTTTAAGAATAAATTCAAAATTCAGAATTATAATTGTATACTCTTATAAGAGAAAACACAATCAGATTCATTTTATATAAAATATATTGTGCTAATTTACACACTTTTTGATCCCTAATAATAAATACAACTCTGTTAGATGTCTTAAAAGAAATCTTTACATTGCTTAGAGAACGTTAAATATCAATTGTGTATTTAAATTTTCTACTTATATGACAGTATGCTATTTTTCCTTAACTTTGGGTAAATAATTTTATGGTGTGATTAAACCGATCTGACATTTTGAAAAAGGGCATGTTTTTTAATGAAATATAAAAGAGTTGTAATTTTAGTTATTCACTGTTGCACAAACCTACTTTTTTGGCTTCATTTGCAAAAGGTTGTTGGATAACCTTTATCTTTTACCACTAACTTCTTACTCTGATCCAAAATATTTGGCTTTTAAAATTCTCCTTATTTCATTATTTGTCTTCATATTTAAAATATCTTCTGTGATATTTCACTTCTAATTTTTTAATATTTTTACATAAAAAGAGATGAATACTGATATCCCTGATTTTTAAGAGAGGATTTTAATTTGGAAATAAACATGCGATAATATGATTTTAAAATGCTAAAGTGGAGCTCTAGTAATTCAACTGAAAATAGCATTATGAATAAACTATACTGTGGCAACTCTTTAACATAATAAAGGAGGACATCAACGGAGCAGAAAATTGATGAATTTTGGAATATATGAAGCATGTTGTATCAAATTGCCAGAGAAAGTAATGATCTTCTGTTACTGAACTTAGGTCACAAAGCCTACTGCCTGCTAATCAGCAAGTGGACCTGTTTCTCTAACAATGGCCCGAAACTTCACAACATCAAAGGAGAAATCATTGCCAGCAAAAGCATTTCCGGGTAGTAGGAAAGAATACAAGTGAATAACATTAGTCCAGAAGTTTTAATAATATTCTTTGCTGGTTGAAATTCATGTTTAATATGATGTAAATTACTTGATAAGCAAATTAAGAACTATGCTACTACAGACTCCAAATAAGACGCAAGAAAAATGAGAGGAAATACATTAAAGGAAAATCTTAAAAAAACAGCTGCACAGAAGATAAATTATTTTTCCAGGAGTTTTAAACATAGTTGCTTTTGTTTGTTTGCTTTGCTGTTTTTTCTTAATAATTGTTTTAGTAAGCTCAGGCTGCTATATAAAAATAAGATAGGCGCTGGTCTGAACAATAGACATTTATTTCTTATAGTTCTTGAACCTGGCAAGTCTGAGGAGGGTCATCTTCTGGGCTTTCAAAGGGCTGCCTTTTTCCTATGTACGTACATAGTGAATAGAAAGCGTTAGCTCTCTGGTCTCTTCCTGTAAGAGCACTAATCCCATCATGAAGACCCCATCCTTATGGGCTCATCTAAACCTAATTACTTCCAAAGGTCCCACCTCCAAATGCTAACACATTGAGAGTTAAGGCTTCAATATATTAATTTTGGGGAAACAAGACACAGTCCATATCAAATATATATATATATATATAATATATATGTATAATATATATGTATACTATATATGTATATAATATGTATGTATAATATATATACAAATATATATAATATATATTACATATACCCAAATATATATATTATATATATTTGTATATATAATATATATATTTGTATATATATTATATATATTTGTATATATATTATATATATTTGTATATATATTATGTATGTTATGTAATACAACTATATACACTCTAAAAAGGCAGTGGAATATAGACATACTTCAATTGATTGTGCTTTGCTTCACTTGGCTTCACAGATAATGTGTTTTACACAAATTGAAGGTTTATGACCACCCTGCATCAAGCAACTTTATTGGCACCACTTTGTAATAGCATGTGTTCATTTGTATCTCTGTGCCATATCTAGGTAAATCTCACAATATTTCAAACTTTTTAACTATAATTATATTTGATATGATAATCTGTAACCAGTGACCTTTGATGTTACTATTGTAATTGTTTTGGGCACCATGAACCACATCCATATAAGACAATGAATTTAATCAATAAATGTGTGTGTTCTGACTGCTCCACCAACTTAGACAATTAGTTTTAGATCTTTTTTTTTTTTTTTTTTTTTTTTGAGACGGAGTCTCGCTCTGTCGCCCAGGCCGGACTGCGGACTGCAGTGGCGCAATCTCGGCTCACTGCAAGCTCCGCTTCCCGGGTTCACGCCATTCTCCTGCCTCAGCCTCCCCAGTAGCTGGGACTACAGGCGCCCGCCACCGCGCCCGGCTAATTTTTTGTATCTTTAGTAGAGACGGGGTTTCACCTTGTTAGCCAGGATGGTCTCGATCTCCTGACCTCATGGTCCACCCGCCTCAGCCTCCCAAAGTGCTGGGATTACAGGCGTGAGCCACCGCGCCCGGCCTAGATCTTTTATTTAGACGATGAGAAAATTTAAACTATAAATAGGCCAGGTCTGGTGGCTTATGCCTGGAATCCCAGCATTTTGGGAGGCTGAGGTGGGAGGCTCACTGGAGGCCAGGAGTTCAAAACCAGCCTGAGCAACATAGGGAGACCTCAGCTCTACAACTGAAAAAAAAATAGCCAGGTGTGTTCATGGTGGCACCTGTCTGTATTCCAGCCACTTGGGAGGCTGAGGCAGGAGGTTTGCTTGAGTCCAGGAGTTTGAGGTTGCGGTGAGCTACACAATGAGCTATGGTGGCACTACTACACTCCAGCCTGGGCCATAGAGTAAGGCCCTGTCTCTAACTGGAAGTCCAAAGAGGGATCTACTTCCTAGACTATTAATTTAATAGATCAATAAATTAATCAAGAATATGATTTTTTTCTCATCTTTCTCTGTAGTCATATTTTATACAGACTTTTTGTTTAAGTAATCTCTCTTTATGGGCAGACAATGATTTCAGAAACACCACAAATTATTCTCAAAGAGAAAAGATGAGGATTTTTTTTTTTTTTTAGAAAATGTAACTCTTTTCAGTAGCTCTTGGCAGACCTACCTTCACATTTTCTTGACTAAAAACAGTCATTAAAAAAAGTCAGTCACAAACAGGTGAATTTAAATTATCATGGTTTACCTATGCTTAACAAGCTTTATCCTCAGAGGTAAGGATAGGGTTACTTTCCTGAATTTTAGATATGTGGAAATATTTGGAGTTATGTCAATAAATGAAAAAGTGTGATGGATATAGTGCTTGCCATGGAATATACCAAATACAGATATTCTGAAAACTTTAAGTTCAGTAATATGCCAGGGGTTCCCAAGACCACTTGAGACCTGGTAATTTATTGGAAGTCTCTAAGGGAATCAGAAGCTGTAGTACTCATTGTTACAGTATATTACAGTAAAAACAGTACAGATAGAAGTCAGCTAAGAGAAAAGACAAATGAAGTGAACTCCAGGAGAAACCAAGTCCAAGCTCTCAGGTGTCCCCTCCCAGAGCAGTTGCATGGGGACATGTTTAATTATCCCAGCAACAATATGTAAAGTACAAAGCATTGCCAACCAGGAACACTCGCTGGAGTCTAGTTGTCGAAGGTGTTTACTGGGATCAGTCACATAGTCATGTAATGCCCATATGATTGACCTCAGCTCCATGACATTTAAGCACAACTTTCTTCCTACACCCAGAGTAAAAACAGATGTTCACATAAGTCACGTTGATAACATAACCTTTTCTGGTCCAACTGGGAGAGTATGGCCCAAGACTTTAGGAAAACAAGAACACTTTTATCAAGCAAAATACTCCAAGGGCTCAGAGATGAACTCCTAGTCTAAGGTCTAGTCCTGCAGAGGGACCCCTCTTTGGAATGTATAGTATTTGAGTAATTCAGGCCAGTCAAGTTAAACCTTTTCACCCATGCCTAAATGCTATTTAATAAATGTAAATAACAACGATGAGATAGTTTATTAAACATTTTTATTGAAATACACAAATAGTATATAGTTAATTAATTTTAACAAAGTGATTGTACATATTTCACAATAAAATTCCCTTAAATTACCATCTGCTCTATCTGCAAGTAATTATTATTCTGATTGCTAATAACATAGACTTTTTTTAACCTATTTTTGAACTTTTATAATAGAATTAAACAATATATATTCTTTTCTGGATGGCTTCTGTTACTCAGAAATATATTTAGGAGAGTCATCAAAGCTCTCTTGGGTATACCATTTATCCTTCTTGCTTGATAATGCTCCATGTATGTATATATATGCTATGATGTGTTTATTTTACTCTTGATGGATAACTGCAAAACTTCCAATTTAAGCTGTTGTGAATAATTCTTTAATAAAAAATTTTGTACATTTGCTGAATATGTTTATGTGTTCCTGTTGGATGATAGTAGCAGAATTATTGGTCACAGGGTATGCATATACTTAATTTTAACAGATAAGGTCAAATACTTTCCAAATTCATTTTAACAATTACAGTCAACCTGCATTGTTTTAGAGCCCCGATTGCAGGGTCATTTTGGATTAGTTTGTCTTTCTCTTATTGATTTTAATGGATAGTGTTAGGCTGTAAATAAAGTTATTTATGCATAGTAAGAACTTTCTCAACAAATTTTACTCAGACTTCTGCTCTACGCTAAGAACTAGCTCTGGAAATTAATTCACAGAAAGAACATGGTTAGGGGCCATCCTGAGGGATTTACCTCACTAGGGATATATATTTACATTTCAAGAGAAGATGAGACCCAGTAGATGCATCCCAGAAGTTACAAAGCTGGAGACTCTAGTGTTATCTTTCCCCTAGAGTGATTTATTTTTATCCAAATGGTTAGAGTAAGAACTCAGATTTTTTTCCATTTTGTGACTATGGAGACGCACTCAGAAGGGGGTCAGAGCAACTGGGTCACTCTTCCACAAAAATGCTCAGGTTCTTTTTTCCAGAGTTCTTTGCCTACAGCAGATCCCCTTACATGTAGGACATCTGGTTCTCACCACATCACCACCACGGTAAGAATTAGTGGAAAGGAGAGCTAGGTTAAGGGCAGCTGTTTCTTTCCTTCTCTGCAGCCTCTGGTACCAAGTACTGCATGACATGTGTCTCACAACATTCCTGCCTCTGCACCTCTGTGCTACGACACTGGATGAATCTATGGAGTGAGCAATAGAAAGTCTCTGAACTGCCAGAAACAAATTCATTTTACATGGAAGTGGCTTTAAATCAAGCACATTAACCTCAATGAACTGAAATTAAATATGTCTCTCTTCAACTTCCCCTTAGCTGAATACTAAAAGTGCTGTAGGCTGGACCCGCACTACCTGACAGGGAGATAAATGACTAAAGGCAAATGGGAGTCAAAACAGGTGTGGCTTTTCTTATTTTTAATTAAGCATCTTACATAGCAAATTTTGCAAAACTCATATGACCCCGAGAAAGACCCATACACATGAAAGGTCTTAAAGATTTAACTTTCTTAGCTTTAACGTAAGCTTTCCACTGGATTTTCCCATTACACTCATTCCATAAAGAAATGAAATAATCATATATCTCATTATATAATTATACTAAATTGATCTCAACACATTTTCTTAGCAATATATACCAACATTGTTTCCAATATTGTTTATTACAAATGATGCTACAGTTGAAATCTTTATATCTGAACGCTTGTGTGTGTGTGTGTACCTATTCTGTGTATAACACTGATTTTATTTATTTGTATAGGCCTGGAAGTGGAAATACCGTGACATAAAATAGAGGCACAGCAAATTATTCAAGATGTCGACAAACAGCATTGTTTCCAAGTTTTTGTTCCCTTACAATCCTTGCCATTGGCCAATCTCTCAAAATCCCGTGTTGCTTAACATTTAGTAGCTTAGTAAATATTTTAAATCTCAGAGATTTTACCTAACTGATACCAGGGTTTTTAAAATTTGTTTATATAGATTAAGCGTCTTTGAAGAAATAACAGTATGCAAAAAATATGGTTGCTATTCTTCATGTTAAAACTATCTTAAACTCTTTTCCAGAGGAAAAAATAACAAAATAGAAACCAAGGAAGGTCTTTTGCTTGGTGATTACATATATTGATTACCTGTGTAAGTTAAACAGATTGGGAAAAGGAAATATCCAAAATTGTGCCTAGAGTATATCATGACATCATGTATATATGTAAATAAGTTAATTTTTGCAATCGCAACATAGAGAAAAATGTTATTTTAAATGAATAAAAATAAATAGAACATAAAGTAATATTTCAGCATATTAAATTTAGGAGTAAAAACCTTTGACATCCCTGAAAATCTTTGGTAAAAAGTCCAGATTATGATAACTTGGCTTTAATGAACTAGGAAATAGATGGATAATAGCACACACATTTTTAGCATTGTAGGGATTATTTTCACTGGTTGTAGGATCAACACACTTGGTTTAAATAATGGTTCTGAGAATTTAATTAATTAATTAATTTAATTCATTTTTGTTAGGAAAATAAATTCATTTCTAGACACAGGATATTTTACAATTGGATCGTATTTCAAAAAAGAATCACTGTGTTTTTAATGAACAAATGTCACATAAAGAAGTCTTTTCAAAAAGTGCTTCAAAAACTTAAATTTGAAATATATGCAACGGATCCACAAGGTATCTAATAATTTTTATTTTTACCAAGCTCATGAGTAAGTTAGTTAGCCCTGAAACAGTTTCGGAGAAAAAAAAAAGTGTTTTAGTTTCTTCATCTGTAAAATATTTATGTTGCAAATGATTGAGCAAATATATAAATTTAAGCAGTTTGATCCTAGAACTTGTTGTGTTTAAGAATATGGATTATTGAGAAGTACTTCACCATAGTATTTATCACATAGTATGTCCTAATTGAAGATTAAGTATGGTTGTAATCATAATAAAGTATTTTGAAAATTCTTTTGAAAACTGTTTTAATGAATTATAGATTGAACACTGAGTTAAGATGGAGTTATCCATGATCTTTAAGACAGCAAAATTAGGTCTTGAAGTTAAAATTGAAATGAATATAATGCACATATATTGATTTTATGTCGATGTTTTATAATCAAATCTGATTAGAAAAAGGAAATTGGTATAAAGGTTCTCCACATCTTCTCAGTCACCCTACTTCATTTTCTAAGGGAATTACATTACGTACTTTTATTTTATTTCTTGTTATATAGCTGTATCCTTTCCTTGATTTCTTGGCTTGCTTCTGCTCTCTTCTGCTATGCCTATCCATCAGTTTCCAGAGCTCAGAAAAACAGTTTTTAACAGCCTAATATATGTATTTGGCAATTTCCTCCCATAACTGTGATTTAATATTCATGGCCACATAAAGGGTATAAAATATTTTGCACTCGGTGTATACACATTTTCTTTATATCACTTTATCTTTCATCAATAACTCAATGGAAATCCCGTTAAGAGAATATGAATAGCTCTAGTTGGTATTCAATGTCTGCCTAACATTTCATGTTGACAAATTATCATAAACTATTCAATAGAAGAATTTTACTAACAATATATCGTTAACATTCTAAAATATTTTTGTATAATCTAGACTTTGGTGGGAACAAACCTTGGAACAAACTGGTTCCAAGGTTTCTTGGAGGGGAGTGGTGAAAAAGAAATGGGGAAATTTATGTTTTTTGAATTTGTCAACTTATTGAGGAGGGGTAAGTAGAGAAATTGACTAATTTGCTAAGACAATAGAAGGCATCTTTATTTCAAATAGTACTTGAAAATTATGCATCTAATTGTGAGGTCAAAAAATTGAAGATACCCCTTAATAAAGAAATAAAGGATAGATCTTCCAAAATAACAAGGATGTAGTGGAATGAATAAAAATGTATCAAGTCAGCAGCAATAAGGTAAAAATATTAGAAAAGTAATGTTAAATAGTTGTCAGATGGAAGGATATATTTGAGCAAATATTTTGTTAAATAGATGACAAAAAGGTAATATTTATACATTACATATATGTGTTTGTATGTATGTATGTATGTATGTATGTATGTATTTATTTTGAGATATAGTCTTGCCTGTCACCCAGGCTGGTATGCAGTGGCACGATCTCGGCTCACTGCAACCTCCACCTCCCGGGTTCAGACAATTCTCCTGCCTCAACCTCCCGAGTAGTTGGAACTGCAGGCGACCGCCACCACACTTAGCTATTTTTTTTTCTTTTTAGTAGAGACGAGGTTTCACCATGTTGGCCAGGCTGGTCTTGAACTCCTGGCCTCGTGATCCGCCTGCCTCAGCCTCCCAAAGTGCTGGGATTACAGGTGTGAGCCACCGTGCCCAGCCTCACAGATGTCTTAAAATTCACCTGATAAAGTTAGGAGCCTCAAGAAAAATTAGCAGAGGAAAATAATAGGTAGTTACTATTTAGGGTAAACTAAACTGTTCTAAGGAATAGAAAATAAAAATTCCATGTCTTCAAAAATAATTCTTCCCTCTCAATCTCTCTGAATATCTCATAAGAGTATTCAGGCCACAGAAATAACTACCATTTAGCCACTCAGAGGCTTATAGTAGTTCTACTAACTTTAACATTTGGCAACCAAAATTACTCTAAGAATCATCACCCAAGTCAGACAAACAGGTAAGATAACAAGAAAAAGTGCTTGTATAAGGATTTAAGACTAAGGCTCAGGGACAGCAAATATTCTATTTGCTAAAACTAAGCCACATGCACACACCAAGCAAGAGAGCCAGGGAAGTGGATAGGCACAGGCAGTCAGTCCACAGAAGAATGAATCAAAGTGCTGAACTTTCATAGAAAAATCTGTTAAGATTCATGGGTGGTAAAGAAAATACAAATTAAAATAACACAGGAATGTCACCAGAAAAACCATCAAATAGGTAGCATTTAAAGATATCTATAGGACTTATTGTTTCTAGTGTTCTCTCATATATTTCTGGTGAAGAATAATTTATTGTAGAGCTTTTTGAAACAATCTGACAATTTATATTGCAATTAATTGTACTTATGCCATCTGACCAAACAATGTAACTCCTAGGCTTTTTGCCTATATGACTAAAATCATATGCACAATAGTGGTTATTACATTCTTTAGCCCAGTAGCCATTAAATTCCTTGTGCCCTTAAAACCTAAAAGTTCACAGGGAGAAGACCTCTTACTGACTTGTAGAATCTCAATACTACTTATCTTGAAATTTCAGTAAGTGTTAGGTAAAAGAGTTCATTTGGGATAATCACACTATGATAGTCTTTAGCTTTTGAATTGGAATCCAAATTTTAGTTTAGAACAGCAAAGTTTGCGCCTAAAGATTTCATGAAGTAAAAATACTAATTGTGATTATATATCTAAATATTTGCACATCTAAAGTTGTCTTTTACCCGTAACCAGAATAAATGATACCTTTAAAAAAAAAAAAAAAAGAGTAATCTATCTAGAAAATGAAAAAATTAGGCTAAAATGGTGACTTAAGTAATTTAAATGGATATAGATTTATAAAATTAAACTATTTCTCAATTTTGAGAGGAAAAAATCAAGGAAATCAAATATACCTTCTCTTTCTTTTGTCAACAGATGTATGCTGTCTTAATTGATGCTTAATTTATTTTTCCATTACATAATTTTAATATTGTAATAACAACAGACACAAAATGAAATTTCTGTACATTTATGAAAAATACTAAAATTGTAAAGTAATTTAAATATATAGGTTTAATTTATTCATATGATTTAAAATTTTATGTCATTTTGTTTTATTTCTTAATTGTTGCTATAATTAAATGTTAATAAAATAAAGTCTTTAAAAATTCTGATTTGGCCTTGCAATATGCGATTAGAACACTTGTAAAAATGCAAACATATAAATAATGCAAAAATAATATTTGAAAAATGTAATCGTTCTTAATGTTATTGAACATCCAAAAGTTATTGACGAAGTATTCAGAAGCATTTTAGATTATTGTAAAATATTATTTAAATTATATTTAATTAAAAAATGATATACACTACTCAGTAAAAAGAAAAATAGATAATCAAGAAAAGCAAAACTGAAAAGATGAAAATGTTTTAATATTCAAGAAGCAATCCTGTCTTTTTTACTGAATTAAGGGACTTCCCTGCAATAAAATCGATTATGCTCACATAATAAAGGTATATCTTAATAATTTAAGTGAAGAAATAAAATCTGTCATCACTTTCACTTTCATCTGGAAAATAGTACCTCGTAAGTTTTTTCCGTTGCAGACTATAAACATAGAAGCAAATTTATTAACTTGGCACTATTATATAAGGTGCATAATGAGCGTTTGTAAAATGGCAAAATAGTTTTTTCTAGTCCTATAGTCAATTTATCATCAGAATAGCCTCAGACTCTATACAGGTTCATTCTATAAACAGTATTGGTGAAAAATCAGATGTGTGGTCTGTTTTTTGTTTGTTTGTTTGAGACTATCATTGTTGAATATACATCAAGCAAAATAGTTAAAGAAAAGCCTTTGGAGTAACGTCGTAAATTCAATAATATGTATATGTGCACACACACACAAATACACATCCAAACAACCACAGGAGGAATAACAAATTTATAACCCGGGTGGGCGCGGTGGCTCATGCCTGTAATCCCAGCACTCTGGGAGGCCGAGGCAGGCAGATCACTTGAGGTCAGGAGTGAGACCAGCCTGGCCAACATGGTGAAACTCCATCTCTACTAAAAATGCAAAAAATTAGCCAGGTCGTGGTGGTGCGCACCTGTCAGCTACTCAGGAGGCTGAAGCAGGAGAATCGCTTAAACCCAGGAGGTGGAGGTTGCAGGGAGTGGAGATTGTACCACTGCACTTCAACCTGGTTGGCAGAGCAAGACTCTGCCTCAAAAAAAAATATTATTACCAAAAATCTCACTAATTCTATACGTCAGCATTTATTAAAATAAGGATAAGAGAGAGCTACTGTAGATATCTCTAAGAAAATAAATAAATGATTATTGAATGTGTAGTTAAACTTCTTTTTGTTTGCCCATTTCTCTTTAGAGCCATGCGCATGAATTGCATTTGCGGGCTGGATTACCAAGGGCTTCTCTGAAATGGCAAAGAAAATAATGTTTGATTTCAAAATGCAATAATAGTAGCTATATGAAAACATGACTTTTGAGAGATTATTCAGCAAATAATACACTTAATGAAACTTGTTTTTTAAGAAATAGATATTTCAGAAAATATGGTACTACATATGATTGTTGCCAAATCATTCTGTATACTTAATGGTTGTTCAGCACTTTCTGTTTTATAAAGTACTTTCAAATATATCAATTCAGTTAGCTAGTACCCAAATCCTTGATGTAATCACTGTTATATAACATACAAGCAAACTGTGTGTAATAAATCACTCTGCAGTTGGAGTACAAGAGTAGGCATCAGGAAAGTGGCAGGTGTGTCATTTTGAATAAAGGCTGTTGTGGGAAAGGTTCCTTCAGACAGATCCCTCTCCCTAGGTATTTATGTGGTGAGAATAGCAGGTGGGGTTTGTGGAGTAGAGTCCGGGGCTTGTGCATCCTTAATTCAAGTAACAGCACTTGAATTAAAGGTTTATCCTAACTATAAAGCTATACATTTTTCTCATGATGTATTTGAATATATTCTTTTTAAGGAAAGAAAAAAATGTAGTCATATAAATGTTCAGGTCCTGAAGTATATGTATGTCACTTATTGCTATTCTCTTCTGTATTTTATGTGAATGCCACAAACATTTTTAAAATTTTAAAGAAGTAAACATATATACAACATAGATTTTTAAAATGAGATATATGCTGAAACAAAGTTTTGAGGAGGTATAATGTTCTGAAATGTAATTAGATGACAAATTATTTCTGGTACACATTTCCTAGCACTTATATTTTTCACCCACTCATAAAACAATGTGAAGTAGGTCATACTGAATCACCAAATT
The DNA here is from genome assembly GCF_000001405.40 of Homo sapiens. NCBI lineage: Eukaryota > Metazoa > Chordata > Mammalia > Primates > Hominidae > Homo > Homo sapiens. The sequence goes on along the minus strand of NC_000009.12, from coordinate 40,049,531 downwards.
AAACATTCAAATTATTCTACATCTCCAAAAGTAGCCCATAATTAAAAGGAATTTCATATTGGAATAACTGGACCTAATTTGCTTATTCATTAAATTGTGTCCAAGTGTAGTCTCTGAATTATATCAATTAGGGAACTAGAAGGTATACTTAAAAAGAGCTGAATTAACAGTGCAAATAAAGTAACCACTGTGGATACTTTTGAAAATTCTAGTATTAATTTTGTTAGTCAATGCAATGGAAATACATCAGTAGCATAGTAATAAAAAATATTTCTTTTTATAGCATCTTTGATAATTATAAAATTAATAAGATTTATTATTTAAAAAACAGAATATATTTATAATTGATAGGTGAGTATTAGAATTAGCCTGACATTATTTTATGATTAATAATTTATTTAAAATATATTATATGATTAAGTGTCTATTTAAAATTAAGCCTGTTAAAAATAAAACTATTGATCTTTCCTATCCTCTAATCCCAAATTTGCTCCTCCCAAATTTAAACCCAGGTGAGTAATTCCAACTCTGTTCCTCCCATAGTTCAGGCCAAAACATTGCCAATATTATGGACTTTTGCCTCTAATATACAGGGTTCAAATATATCTTGTTTGCATAGAACAATTTCAATTTATAATTTACATAGTTTATAGTTTACAACAGCTTCAGGAATAGTTTACACGATAGTTTCCTCACTAATTTCCCTGTTTTCTCTTTTGCTATGCTATGGTCTATTTTCACAGATCAGTCAAACTGTTACTGCTAATTCTTTAAAGAGGCGATTGCTTTTCTGTTTAAAATACTTCATGGCTGCCAATTAAATAAACAAAAGTTCTTACCATTTTCTAAGAAGCTTTATGTGACCATCTCCCCATGGAGTGTGATCTCATCTCCTCTGCTGTATCACATTGGCATCCTTAGTGGAACCTCACGGGTGCGTTCATACACCAAGGCCTCATTTGCTATTTCTGCTCCCTGAAAATATGTTCTCTCAATTATGCTCTTGGCTCATTCTCTCATAACCACTCATTGTATTCAGATGATACCACCCAGTGAGGCTTTCGGCAACCATCTTGTTCAGTATCCAGCACCTCTTGTGCCCAGAACTCTCTATTCCCCTTCTTTGCCACATTTTTTAGAATAGAACTTAAACCATCTGGCATACAACACATGATACTTTGTGGTATTAATTACTGTTTTTCTCCCAACACTGGAACAACAGCTCTGTGAAGCCAAGACATTCTGAATGTTATTTTCACTATTTTTTCCCCAGTCCCTACAAATGGGCCTAGAATATGCATAGTAGATGCTCAATAATTTGTTGGGGAACAAATGAAAGTTGATCCTCAATAATATTTTATAATGAATAGGCTTACAATTTATGAAAAAGCCATAACTTATTTAGCCATCTCCCTAAATTTGCATGCTTTTGTAAGTAATACTATCATGGTTGTGAAAACAATTATGTGTGTATATACGTATATGTATATAGGTATTTTATGGCAATGATATACATACATGTATAGTCTTCTGTAATATTTACAGGTGCTTTTGTTTTGCTTGCATTATGCAGCATATATGATTTTATAGCTAGTATTCTGGATGTCCATGAAACATCAATTAAAAAGAAACTAATATTATTAAATAGCAGACCTGTTAAAGTGGTAGTCAAAATATTCTTTCCCCATCATATACCTCAGAGATTTCTGATGAACCCTTTTGAAATCTAATAGTGGCTGTAATCATAATAAATTTTTTCTAGGTAGTTTTACAAACACTTTTTAATCTTCAAAATTCAAGGCTAATGTATGCATGTTGAATGATTATGGCATTCATATATAAGCTATGTTTGGAACCAGAACTTACCAGTGCTTATATTTATGTGTAGGTATGATAGACAAAGCATAGGAATAACAAGATATCATTAGCTTATTATTCATTAAAAATATGAGTAGAACTGGTTTTGCTCTGTAGTTTTTGCTATGATAAACCTTAGCCATGAAAATAACCTGCTATTGAGCATGTGTGTCATCCATCTTATGACTCACCAAAAATAGGGAAATGAGTCTAGAACCATCAAAGCAGTTGACAACAGAAGTGAGATTTCAGCTTGGATGCATTTTATTATAAAAGTAGTATAATTATATTCAAGAATTTGTTAACCTTTTATCTCACTAAATAAATTTCAATATTCATTATAAATAACAAATTCAAGCATTTAAATATTATTTATATATTCTTAATTTTTGTTGTTTGTTTTAATTACACATGTCAATCCTGTTATGGAATGACATCAACATCCCCTTGTCAAGAGGATATTTTTAAATTTCCACATGTACATTTTAAGAGTTTGATACAACCCTATTTATCTATGATTTTCTCTTTCCTATAATTAGTAATTTTCACTGTAGAAGACTCACTTATAAAAGTGTATATTATTATATTTGGATGATAAACTAAAATTTTGAAATATTTAGAAGCATTGTTATGAACTCATTAAAATTATCAGAATCACTTCATATAAAATGATATTTAATATTTTCTTATACATAAATTAGTGACATTGTTTTGTACTTTTAATTTAATTTGATTATGAAAACTTTCTATGTGTTTTTGAATTTGTGTAACCTTAGACAGATTGCTAAGCCCATTTCATCATGCATTAATAGAATAGGATTAGATAATCTCTAAGGGCCCTTTTGGCTCTAAGATTATATGATTATAATTAATGGCACTGCAGATCTTGTAGAGGGACATTAAAATGGACCCATACCTGAAGTAACTTTTCAATTGAATTAGTACTTAGGGAGTTGAGACAGTAGAAACAAGGAAGGCAAAACAGTCTTTCATAACAGATCATAATAAATTTGCTAATATTATAGAAAAGTCATTGGAAACTGTTTATCCTTTCTTTTTTTTTTAATAGGACCTTCCCATTTTCACTTACAGTTTTGAATACATTTATACATTTCCTTCTTCAAACGTCATTTAAATTAAAAGTGTTTCTATTTTCTCCAGATGGAGTTTCAATGCTCATAAACATTTATATTAGGAGAGAATATAGTACATATTATCTAACTTAAGTTGAAAAAGAATGAAACTGTAAAATATATTTACCAAAATAATTAAGATTTATTTATCTTTGGTAGGCCTCAATTAGTTTACCTTTAAAAAGCATTCATTGATACAAATTTTAAAAATCCATGTAACAGACATCAATCAAATGTGATTTTTCTCCAGTTTATTATTTTCTGCCAGGGGAAATAAAATGCAATAATCACATTTTAAATATACATCTTTTTAAATGATTCTGTTGTTATACATATGATTGTTATTCATATTTTTACTGTTATTGAATGCCCCTGTACTGACCTTTCCAATTTGATAGTGCAGTAAGAAATAAACTTTTTTTTAATATTGAGAATTGGAAATGACCTGGTAATTTCTTTGTACTAGAGACCACTAATTGTCCATATAATGCATTCTTTCATTTTGTTTAGTAATAGAATCCTAAGTACTTATGACCACAAGCAGGAGATTACCTTCTATAGTCTCTTATCAGTGATTAATTTTGATCAAGTATAATATGAATTATATTATGAGCATAAATTTAAGTTAATCTCCATAAAGACAAAGCCGATTGTTTTTACATCTCTTCTTACACATTTTACTGTGAAGTATTGCTGAACTTAGCCATGAGGATGAAACACTAAGATAGGATTATAAAGAGAATACAAGATGAAAATCTCCTGGGGCCCAGGATGAACTCATGGAAAAAACATCCCCACCAACTCTCTTAATTGTTGGAGAGAAATATAAGACTACAATAAGGGTCACTCGTTATACTCATCATTTTTGAGTTAGAGATATTGACAAGTGTATCAAACTATATATTTTCTCCCACAAGACATTGAGGGGCACACTTCTTTTATTCTCCAAAAGTAACAAAAAATGCTTTGGTGTCTAATTTTTAGCCTGCAAGGTCTCTCATAGTGTTGTTTTCAAAGACTTACATGTTTTATTTCCTTACCTCACTGCAACATTATAAATTTATCTTCTGTGCTAACCTCATGATAGCATCTAATGGTTCCAAGAGTGAAGATTATCACTAGTTTATGAACCTTTGTATTCCCCAAAAGAGAAAGAGATATTACATAACCAAATTCCAAGTATGATTAACCAAGATTTTTCTAAAATTTTCCACCTCTCAATTCTGTCTACTAATTTGAAATAAATGAGCAAAATACATTTGCAACATGATAATTCTTCAAACTCGGCTCTTATACCAAGCAGTACTGATGATTGGGGCATTAACAAAACCAGTAAAATTGTTTTGCAAAACAAAAACGAAGTGAAAAATACGCTCAGCTTATCTTACACAATATTGTTTTCTACATCGAAAATGGCTAGATAACCTTAGAAAAAGTGGCATATACATTATTTACCTAAAAGTTATAGTAATCTGGGTAGAAGCTTAAAGTGATCTATCCTGTCATATAGTTGTCATTAACTAGGATATTAATTATTCTTAAAAGGATGCAAAATTTTTCCAAGGGATGTGCATCTGCAGACAGTTTTAAGGGACTATTGTCAAGAACTGTGAAGGATCTGAGCTTACAAGTTAGCCTGCTTCAGTTTTATGGATGCTGGCAGAAGACACATAACTCTTTGGTCAGAGACAGAAAGACTTCCATTATTTGCAGCACAGCACAGAGTTGCACGAGCTTCATCTTTGCTCTGGTTCCTGTTTTCCCTCAAGTTTACTGGAGATGATGACAAGGAGTTCAAGTTGATGCTACACACAGTTTGTGTCACAGATGAAGAACTCCAAGTAAAGGAAACTTAAATCTTTAATAAATGAGCAGTAAGCACACTTGTCTGATGTTTTCTGTGGAGGAAACACTATCTTCATTTTACTTGAAAATAAATCTGTTCTCTCATCCATAAATAAACAATATCTTGATCTTCCAGGGCTATCCACTATATAAAGATCTTTAAAAAGGAAAACCTGTAATAAATGTGAAGCTAGTGCCTTTCTATTTGCAAGATGCACAGAAATGCATGAGGCCAATTGAAAATTGCCTGTGAAAAAACACGCTTCCAGATTTTTAGCTTGCTCTTTTCTAAACATGAAAATTCTCAGAAAGTACGTGTTCTCAAGATTCATGCCCTTTCTTTTTTCCCAAGTTGCTTTATCACGACCATCTTATTTTTCACATTACCAAATAATGCACTTCCCTAAACTATCCAAAATTTTCCATGGTGTTATAGTTTCTAAGGTACTGAGAAGAAACTCATAGGTGAAGCATATTTATAAATTGTTTACAAAATAATATTGAATACATATTTTCTCCTTTTCCCTGTCACTAGTAACTTTTTCTCTGCTTGATTAATTTATATCACATATTTAATAGCCCAGTTTATTCAGAACATACTGAGAGGTGAAGCCAGCTGGACTTCCTAGGTGGAGTGGAGACTTGGAGAACCTTTTTGTCTAGCAAGAGGTTTGTAAAATGCACCAATCAGCGCTCTGTAAAATGCACCAATCAGCGCTCTGTAAAAAGCACCAATCAGCAGGATCCTAAAAGTAGCCAATTGCAGGGAGGATTGAAAAAAAGGGCACTCTGGTAGGACAAAAATGGAACATGGGAGGGGCCAATACGTGAATAAAAGCTGGCCACCCCAGCCAGCAGCAGCAACCTGCTGGTGTCCCCTTCTATGCTGTGGAAGCTTTGTCCTTTTGCTCTTCACAATAAACCTTGCTACCGCTCACTCGTTGGGTCCATGCAATCTTTAAGATCTGTAACACGGCAAAGGTCCGTGACTCCATTCTTGAAGTCAGCAAGACCACGAACCCACCAAACCCACCTGCAGGAACCAACTCTGGACATAATACCACATGGCAATCTCTGTTCTAAGCATTGATGTGTACAGGTTATTTACTCCTCATAAGAACACTGAAAGATAATTGCTACTTACTGGCTCCTTCTTAAGGTGAGTAAGCTAGAGACAGATACTCATGATTTGCTCAAGACTTCAGAACTTGTCTGTGGCAGAGCAGAGATGAGAATTAAATTTGCTAGCCACCATTTCTTGGAATTTAAACACATTGGTATGCCACCTCTTAGTATATGTAATTAATGACATGCAGTTCACAGAATTATGTTATTTAAATTATATTGGACAGAAATAAAAAAGTACGGTTGACGAACAACATGAGCTTGAGCTGTGTGCATCCCCTTATATAGAGATTCTTTTAATTAAAAAAATCAGCATCTGCATTGAAATGTGGATCAAAATACAGTAGCCACAGGATGAAAAACCCGCAGATATGGAGGACTGACTTTTTGTATACTCTGGTTCCACAGGATTACTTGAATATGTGCTGACTTTGGTATCCTCTGGGGTCCTGGACCCAATCTTTTGAGGATATCAAGGGACCACTGTATTTTTATTTAAAATGACAAGAGTAGAGAATATATGCAGATATATCCCGAGGAACATCTTTCAGGTATATGCTTTTCTATTTTAATTCCTCTTAAAAAAACACACACATCTTAGAACTTACAATGTATCGATACAAAAATGTGGCCATTATTTACGTAGGAAAAGTTTATATACTCCTCCGGAGGGTAGGAAATGAGATTGCAGTGCACATGGGGTTCTGCCACTCACAGTGTAGGATGTTTCACCATGTCTTCCTGAAATGATTTGCAAATAGTCAAGAACAAATGACTGTGGTGATAGAGATGTATTTATTGCTGCCACCTTGTTCCCACTTCACCGTTGCATATTTGTACACAGGACACATATTTATTCTTTTAAGTTTAGATTTTACTGAGAAATGAGGACCTTATCTGGACCTCACTGGGAGAATTATGAGTGGCCAGAGATACTACATTTTGAGCTGGATGCCAGACCTTGAAAGAACTCTGCATTTTTCATTTTGAGAGAAGTCAGTGTGTTTTATAATGGGAGGAAGATTAAAGCAGGTATTTTGGCATCAGAAGGACTGACCTTGACAGAGATTGGTGAGATAACATTATTTCCTTCTTTGGACCACAAGGAAATGCTGTATTTTTCAGCCTCAATTGCAGGTAGGATGAGACCATTTCACTGGTGAATGAAATGTAGGTAAAAGTTATATTTCCCACTTTTAGACTGAGCTATAAGATACCTCACGCAATGCTTCTCATACTCCTCTTTATATTAAATGCAGGGGATTCAGTGAAAACCTTTAAGGAATTTCAGAAAGTTAATCCTCTACTGAATTATTATATGAATGAGAAGAAAAAAAATTGTGTTAAGTCACAGATATTTGCAGTTTGGTTCAGAAACTAATATTAATTGCCCTGACTAATACACTGAGATACTAGTGATGATTCTGCAATGACTGCTTTTACAGTGAAAGTGACCACAGTGGCATGCATGGATAAATTTAAGGTGATAAACATTAGGATTGCTTACATATTTTTTGGCTTCTTCATACACATGGTAGGATATAGCTCACTGCCCTGTTTAATTCAGTTATGGAATGTGATTTCCTTTTGCTTATTGAAATGTTAGTAGACTAAAGTGTCTGTTTCCTTCTAGAGGCAAAAATTCAGAGCGTGCCTCACAACATTCTTTTTTTCCTTGACTACAGTAACTTTCAATGTTCTGGAGTGGCTGCTTTGTCCTCTAGATCCTGGTATAAAGGTGACAATGACCCATGAGTAGAATCATAAGCAACACCAAGGACATGTGAAATGAGCAACTTATGAATGAATTGATACAGGCTCCTGACATTTAGAAATTGTTTTGTTATCACTCAGCTTAGTTTTTCTGATGTAATTTAATTGCTCTAAGGAAACAGTATCTGCTGTGATTTGTTACTGTCTCTTACTGCCCAGTGGTTGGCAAGGCCAAAAGTTCTAGACGCGGCAGTATTCTGAGAGTTGAGAGCCAATATATTTTCTTGGCAGTGCTCATGCTCATGGTGCACTTGAAGCTGTGTCGATGCTGCCATAGGAACACCACAAGCCAACCTTGTTTCTTCCATGGTTGCACTCTTTATGTATTCAATTACAGACCTCAGGTGTGTCTGACATGAAATAAACATACGCAGGCATCACGACGGTAATCAACTGATTGCTTCAATGTGCTGGTCTTTGTAGGTCTTGAGAGTATCAACCTGGAAAAACAAGCTCTTAACTTTAATAATTTCAGCAAGTTAATATAAAGGGAAGTTCCACATATAGGTCTGGATCAAGTTTTTCTATGAAGTAGTTGCCAATTAGAAAAGTTTCCTAAACAACCCTAGCAAAAAATTGTGTAAAGATTCCATTCACTTATTACACAAAACAGTATATTTTATGAGTGCTACCTTCTACTTTGGCCATTAGATAAAAGGTCTCTTCACCCTTCTTTTGTCGTGTTTTGCCTAAATATTTAGGCATATAGCTATAACCCATCATTCCCTTTTGAAAACAAAGAATAATAACCAAAGTAATATAATCTAAACCTGCTTTAAAGTCCAAGTGTAGTTTATGTTATATGTTCCTGTAATTATTTGTCATCTGTGGCTCAAATCCCTTTTACTAAAATACTTTGCACTTCACCATAAACAAACTTGTGCAAACAAACAAGACACAGAAGCGATATAAAACTCCCAAAATCAAGTTACTAAGTTTCAGTAACAAATAAACCTGAATGTGTAATTAAATAGATTATAATAATGCTGAAAATTCTGTATTTTAGGTTCTTTATGATCTAGAGTTCTTCACATGTATTTAGTAAACCATTCCAAGTGCTATATTTCTTGCTAATAAAACCAAATAACAATGTTCAGGGTAAATTTTAATGAATTAATGCTTATAATGCAAACTATGCTTTCATCCATTTTATTCAGAAGCACACGATTAATTATACAACAGATATTTTATATGAATGTTCAGAGTAAAGACTATTTGTATTTGCTTGAATGACAACATAATTTATTAAATGAATAAATACACGGATTCATCTTCTCCATCACCATTTCAGGCATGTTTTTGTGACATCTACCTTCTTCACCATGAACTCCTTCCTAACCAACCATTATATCTAAAATAAATTATCAGCAAACATAAATAATGTGCTATTCCAGAACTACCTCACATGAGCTAGATGATGGGAGGCATAATTCATAATAAACAGACCCTACCTTTAAATTCTATAAAGCCACAGCATTTAAATTATAACTATGCCACAGAGCAGTAACCTATTTTCCTATTAATTATATCCCATAAAAGCAATATAGCTTCACTAATTAATTATACTTGAAGTAACAACTATGGCTTAATTAAATGAACCATTCCTAATAATGAAACCTTAAAATAATTGGACTCTTCTGTCTAGAGGCAGTAACAATTATTGTCATTGGAAAGGATTTCAAACATGGCTATGCTAAGCAACGCTGATTCATAACTGACATTGAACCTGAGATTTCCTAGAGCAGTAGCTCTCAAAACCTTTCGTGAAGGGCCAACTATTAAGTATTTTAGAATGTACGTGCCATGTGATCTCTGTCACGAGTACCAATATTTGCCATCGTAGTGCATAAGTAGCCGTAAACAATATGTAAAATAAAAGGATGTCACTTTATTCTAATAAAACTTTGTTTACCAAAATGTATCAGTGGCCTGATTAGCTCTGTGCTTTGTAGTTTGATGACCTCTTATATAGAATCGAATTATTGAACTCATCTCTACTATGTTTCTAGATTTTCTAGTATTGTATTCTAGGTTTCTATCTTTCTCATCTATCCATCTTAATGGTTAAGTTTTACAAACCCTTATCATATATAATATTATTTAAATTATATTAATCTGCATTTAACACACATCTTCCTCTATTTTGTAATTTAGCATTTTTGAGCCATTAAATTTTAAATTACAGTAGAGATGTAGACATTATGTAAAGGTATATTACTTTGTTGTATATGTTCATAAAAGACAATAATGGCCACATTGAAATGACACAATACGATCTACCAAAAGCGAGTAAGGCAGAGATTGTGTACATAAGTAACCAAGTACAAGTTCTGTCCTTCAAGTGAACCCCTACATCATTATTATTCCCTTATGGTGGAAATTCCAGAAGTAGATAGCACATAAATTTTACATCTTCATATCTGATATATGGATACCTTTTTTATCAAGTATTCCTTTTTTTTTTTTCTTTTTTCTGAGATGGAATCTCACTCTGTCGCCCAGGCTGGAGTGCAGTGGCGCGATCTCGGCTCACTGCAAGCTCTGCCTCCTGGGTTCACGCCATTCTCCTGCCTCAGCCTCCTCCAGACTAGCTGGCACTACAGGTGCCCATCACCACGCCTGACTAATTTTTCCTATTTTTAGTAGAGACGGGGTTTCACCCTGTTAGCCAGAATGGTCTCGATCTCCTGACTTCATAACCGCCCACCTCGGCCTCCCAAAGTGCTGGGATTAGAGGCGTGAGCCACCGCGCCTAGCCCATATGCCTTCTTTTATTCATGGTTTACTAATTATAATATTCTATTTATATAATTGAGAATTCCTTGTTCCGTTTTTCTTTCTCATTTTCTTTCATCCCAGTCAATCATTTTCAGTCAAAATGTGTGTATATATATATATATATGTGTGTGTGTGTGTATATATATAGTGTGTGTATATATATATGTGTGTATATATGTGTGTGTATATATATGTGTGTGTGTATATATATGTGTGTATATATATGTGTGTATATATGTGTATATATGTGTATATATATATGTGTGTATATATGTGTGTATATATATGTGTGTGTATATATATATGCATATATGTGTATATATATATATAGATGGGAAAGAAATACAGAGAAATCTAGGAAGCATTGTGAAAAAATGGTGTGAACGTATGCATCAAAAAGTAATATTACAATTTTATTCAGTATCCCATCCAAACTTTTCTCCTGCAGGACTTTCATGCTTGCTATTGTCAAATCTTCTCCCTTCTGCATAACTTTCATTTATCTTCTCTATTATTGCTATTGTCACATAAATGTGCTTTTATATATCACATTAGAAAAATAGTCATTCTCCTCAGTCTACGTCTCACAAATATAGAACTACTTTTTTTTCTTCTTTAGAGCAAACTTTCTCAAAAGTATTAAGAAAAGTACAATGTGTAAAACAAGCAGCAAGAGAGGACATCTGTGTTAGGCTGAATAATGGCCTCAAGAGATGTCAGGTCTTAATCCTTAGTACCTGTAAATGTAACCTTTATGGCAAAGAGACTTGCAGATGTGAATAAGTGAAGAATTTTGTGATGGAAGATTATCATGAATTATCTTGGTGGGCTCTAAATGCAATCTTAAGTGTCCTTATAAGAGTGATGGAGAGGGAGATTTGACATAGAATCTAGGTTATGTGATCATGGAAGTGGAGAAATATTTGAAAATTATACGCTGCTATCTTTGAAGATAGAAGAAGGGGCCTTTGAGACAAGAAATGTAGTTCTAGAAGCTGCGTTTCTGGAATAATTTCTAGAATTACTCTCCCCTGAGTTCTCTGGAAAAAATAGGGTGCTGATCACACCTTGGTTTTAGACCACTGATACTGTTTATGAATTTTTGACCTTCAGAACTATAAGAGAAAAAGTCTGTGTTGCTTTAAGCTACCCATTTTGTGGCAATTTGTTACAGCAGCATAGGAAAATAATAGAGAATCTCTTCTTGTTCCCAGGTTTAAAAGCAAGCCTTCTAACATTCCCACATTATTATGTCATAAGATATTGTTTATAGGATTTCAAAAGATACACTTTATCAACTTAATGAAGTGCCTTTTAAATCCTAGTTTAATAAGAGCATATAGATATACAGTAAATTAATGATAAATTTTATCAAATACTTCTTTGTATCAATATCTGTTAGGATACAGATCTTATGTATCTGCATCTACTGAAATTATGTGATTTTTCTCATTTACTCTGTGAATGTGATGAATAATATTCTTTTTAATTGAATCACAATTATAGAGAATTGAATTAATCATCATTTTGATTAATGACATACTTTCATCTTATGCCTATTCATGGTCATCTTTTATATGTAGGTAATTAAATAATAACTTTTACAGTGTTAGAAGCAACCAGCATATAGCACCCTGCATAAAAACTAAAACCTGAAGAATGACCACATTTAGCCATATAGTTTCTCACTCCCATCTCATCCTCTATAATTACCAGTGTTTGAACCACAGCCTCTTTCTTCTCTAAACCACTAGCTGAAATCTAAACTCAGCACTCCAACCTCCCATTTATTGATTTCTGCTAGGCTTCTTGACGTCTCACCTTGTGCATACATATCTTTGATACTGGCCACACTTAAGGGGCATTTGTATGCAGATATTCAGGCTCTCTCTCTGTGGTTACCTCCTTCTTGGAAATTTGTCTCGTGAGCCCCATACACACTAGATACTCTGAACTCTAATCTCTGTCACCTCAACACAGTAAAATTTCACTTTCCGTGTATGCTTTCTTTCTTCACATCAGTATTTGGGAAATGTTATTAGAGGAAAAACATCTGAGTGAATGTAATTTATAGTCTATAATTATTTCTTTTTAATAATGATCCCACTCAAGCTCTGTATACATTGATTGTTCTCCGGTGTCTTCCAACAGTTGTCTAACATATTTTGCCCAGCTTTTCTAGCCAACTTCAGGGTGTGAGTTTGTGCTACTTTATCATGGACTGAACCTGAAATCCTCTAATTTTATTGAAATGGATGGTTATTATAGTTCATGTTGCATTTCTTGTGTTTCCAATACGTTTTTAGATTTTCTATTTCTCCACAATTCTGGAATTAAGAATCCATTTGTTTCATTCTAATCTAGTTTCTTATACATAATGCTAAAGGGAGTGTTGTTTCAATGACTGTCAATAACTTCTACATGGGCACCATTCACATTTCCCAAAGTCTCAGCAGCATTTCAAATTGTTGAAAATTTCTTCCTCTTCAAAACATTATTCATTATAGAGTTCGTTAAAAATATGCCAACCTTGCTTTTCTTCTTGCCACCTCAGCTTTTTATTCCCAACTCAATTGCAATACATTTTTTTTTCAGCTCATTTGGCATTAATTTCTATTGTCTGTTTCAACCCTTCCTTGGTGATTTAACAATAAAAATAAATAATTCCTTTAAAAGGCTCATAAGTGTCGGTAACTCCCATAGCTTTACTTTTACCTTTGACTATTCTTCAACCTTCAGACTTAGACACAAATTTGTTTAACTACCATCTTGCATTTCTCTCATGCCAAACGTCCACATGACTGATAGTCCTGTTATTTCTTTCTTCAAAGTATATATCAAATGCATTCACTCTTTCCATTGCCATTGCTACTATTACTGTTTTAGTCAATTCTGACTGCTATCACAAAGACCTATAGACTAGGTGGCTTAGAAATAACAAATATCAATTTTTTCACAGTTCTAAAGGCTAGAAGTCTGAGACCATGGTACCAGAGTGACCAGGTTTCAGTGATATCTCTCTTCTAAGTTGCAGACTACCATTTTCTTCTTGTATCCTCACATGTCAGAGAGTGAGAGAACTCTCTTGGGTCTATTATATAGGGGAACTAGTTCCATTTAGAAGGGCTCCAACCTCATGATGTAACCACCTCCTGAAAGTCCCACCTCCTAATACCATCATATTAAGGGTTAGGATTTCCACCTATAAGTTTCAGAGACAGGGTGGCAACAGCCATGCAGTCCATTGCAATCACTATCCAAGACATCATCGTCATCATTATCTCCATTCCTTTTTTTTTATTATTATTATACTTTAAGTTTTAGGGTACATGTGCACAATGTACAGGTTAGTTACATATGTATACATGTGCCATGCTGGTGTGCTGCACCCATTAACTCATCAATTAGCATTAGGTGTATCTCCTAAAGCTATCCCTCCCCCCTCCCCCCACCCCACAACAGTCCCCAGAGTGTGATGTTCCCCTTCCTGTGTCCATGTGTTCTCATTGTTCAATTCCCACGTATAAGTGAGAATATGCGGTGTTTGGTTTTTTGTTCTTGCGATAGTTTACTGAGAATGATGATTTCCAATTTCATCCACGTCCCTACAAAGGACATGAACTCATCATTTTTTATGGCTGCATAGTATTCCATGGTGTATATGTGCCACATTTTCTTAATCCAGTCTATCATTGTTGGACATTTGGGTTGGTTCCAAGTCTTTGCTATTGTGAATAGTGCCGCAATAAACATACGTGTGCATGTGTCTTCATAGCAGCATGATTTATAGTTCTTTGGGTATATACCCAGTAATGGGATGGCTGGGTCAAATGGTATTTCTAGTTCTAGATCCCTGAGGAATCGCCACACTGACTTCCACAATGGTTGAACTAGTTGACAGTCCCACCAGCAGTGTAAAAGTGTCCCTATTTCTCCACATCCTCTCCAGCACCTGTTGTTTCCTGGCTTTTTAATGATTGCCATTCTAACTGGTGTGAGATGGTATCTCATTGTGGTTTTGATTTGCATTTCTCTGATGGCCAGTGATGGTGAGCATTTTTTCATGTGTTTTTTGGCTGCATAAATGTCTTCTTTTGAGAAGTGTCTGTTCATATCCTTTGCCCACTTTTTGATGGGGTTGTTTGTTTTTTTCTTGTAAATTTGTTTGAGTTCACTGTAGATTCTGGATATTGGCCCTTTGACAGATGAGTAGGTTGCGAAAATTTTCTCCCATTCTGTAGGTTGCCTGTTCACTCTGATGGTAGTTTCTTTTGCTGTGCAGAAGCTCCTTAGTTTAATTAGATCCCATTTGTCAATTTTGGATTTTGTTGCCATTGCTTTTGGTGTTTTACACATGAAGTCCTTGCCCATGCCTATGTCCTGAATGGTAATGCCTAGGTTTTCTTCTACGGTTTTTATGGTTTTAGGTCTAACGTTTAAGTCTTTAATCCATCTTGATTTAATTTTTGTATAAGGTGTAAAGAAGAGATCCAGTTTCAGCTCTCTACATATGGCTAGCCAGTTTTCCCAGTACCATTTATTAAATAGGGAATCCTTTCCCCAATGCTTGTTTTTCTCAGGTTTGTCAAAGATCAGATAGTTGTAGATATGCGGCGTTATTTCTGAGGGCTCTGTTCTGTTCCATTGATCTATATATCTGTTTTGGTACCAGTACCATGCTGTTTTGGTTACTGTAGCCTTGTAGTATAGTTTGAAGTCAGGTAGTGTGATGCCTCCAGCTTTGTTCTTTTGGCTTAGGATTGACTTGGCGATGCGGGCTCTTTTTTGGTTCCATATGAACTTTAAAGTAGTTTTTTCCAATTGTGTGAAGAAAGTCATTGGTAGCTTGATGGGGATGGCATTGAATCTGTAAATTACCTTGGGTAGTATGGCCATTTTCACGATATTGATTCTTCCTACCCATGAGCATGGAATGTTCTTCCATTTGTTTGTATCCTCTTTTATTTCATTGAGCAGTGGTTTGTAGTTCTCCTTGAAGAGGTCCTTCACATCCCTTGTAAGTTGGATTCCTGGGTATTTTATTCTCTTTGAAGCAATTGTGAACGGGAGTTCACTCATGATTTGGCTCTCTGTCTGTCTGTTATTGGTGTATAAGAATGCTTGTGATTTTTGTACATTGATTTTGTATCCTGAGACTTTGCTGAAGTTGCTTATCAGCTTAAGGAGATTTTGGGCTGAGACAATGGGGTTTTCTAGATATACAATCATGTCGTCTGCAAACAGGGACAATTTGACTTCCTCTTTTCCTAATTGAATACCCTTTATTTCCTTCCCCTGCCTAATTACCCTGGCCAGAACTTCCAACGCTATGTTGAATATGAGTGGTGAGAGAGGGCATCCCTGTCTTGTGCCTGTTTTCAAAGGGAATGCTTCCAGTTTTTGCCCATTCAGTATGATATCATTATCTCCATTCTATATTCGGATAATAGTCTCTGACTTTGTCTTTTTGCATTTATTCTTTTCCCCTAAAGTGATTCTTCAAAGAGTAATGTCAAGGAGAACCAGAGCCAGAGGATAATTAAAGCAGTAAAGAAGATTTTATTCAGAAATTACTGCAAAACAGGAAAAGAGACTTTAGTAGAGAAATGAGCTCAATTCCAAATACAAGCACACATGGAAATTTGTAGCAAAGGAGCAGTGTGAAGGGGTCAGTGGATGGAAAATTATTAAGAGGAGACGTCAAAAGTAGGGGAACTCTTGCTAAACCAAATTAACAGGATTCTTGCTGAAGGCAGCTCAGGGTGATCAGATATCAAGATTCTCTCTATATGGACTTAAGGATTCTTGTTAAAAGTGAGCTATGGAGACTAGGCAAGGGGCCTAGATGAAGATCTAGTTGAGAGGAGAGCTCAAAAATCTGACTAAAGTTTGATGAAGGAGAGAGTCTTTGTCAGTATTTGTGTTAATTTTTTTTAATTACTAAAAGTGAGGCTTATTTGCATTCTTCAAGGACTTACCAATTAATAAGCTATGTTAAAATCTCCAGTTGTAATGTCTATTTCTTCCTTCAACTTCTGTTATTTCTGCTTTATGAAAATTGTAATTTTGTGTATGTTATTAATATATATTTTATTTTTAATGTAGAATGAAGCATGAATCCTTCTGTAGAATAAATTTCCCTTCCTTATCCTGTTAAATTTATTTTGTCTTAAATTCTATCTTGTCTCATAGCAAAATTCTGACAACTATTTCAGGATCTTGCTATCATACAAGATCTATCTTTGCTCTTCCTTTTACATTAAACCATTCTGAATTGCCTTGTTCAATATGTTTCTTGCACACAGAATAGATTGGATTCTGCTCCATTAGCCAATCTAAAAGTACGCCATTTAATGGTGAGTTAAGCCCATTTGTGTCTTTGATATACCTGTTATGCTGGTGTTAAGTTCTGTTATATAAGTTTTTGCTATATAAATAATTTATATAAAATCTTGCCCTGTATTTACACTTTAATTTGAGGCGCAGGATATACTCATCTGGTATTTATAAATGTTTCTATGTTTATTCTTATTATTATCTTATAATAATATTATAATAAAATATACTAGTCCTCTAGTGTGTTTGAATACTATCTATTGTTTTCTTCAATGAGTAGTAATACTGTTCTCTAGTAAACTCTCTTTCCTTTCTTCTCTCTTTTGGCTTAACATTTATTTACTTTAATTCCATATTTTTTAATGGCAGTTAGATACTCCCGAGATAGTCATTAAGATTCGTCTACTTTCTTTTTCTTCTCCTTTTTTCTGTTTGTTGTTGAGTTGCATTATTTCTTCATGTTTAACACACTTAATAGCATCATGTTTTGTCACTTTAATCCCCATTACTTGCTCTTAATTATAAAATTAAACATATTTAGTCCTTATCCAGAAGCTTCACATGATGTTTGTCTTCTTGTCAGTAGGTAGGACATTTCTAAAAAAGCCATCACAGGAACAATGTTTTTTAAAATCATAAATATTCATGATGTTCTACATTCCTTAGACATGATTCATAGTTTGGATGAATAAAATCTCATCTCGCTACTGTGTTATCTGTTTCATAATCATTAAACCATTTCTTGATTATCATCCTGTATAAAATATTGCTATCAAGAAGTCTATTATCAATATAAACTTCTTATCCTTTTACCTTCATGCTCAAATAATTAATATTATTTTTTATTTTAATTTTTGTTCTTAGAAATAACCATTACACGGGTATTACTATTCTTTGCCTAAGTTTTATGTTTAGAAAATTTTTAGATGTTTTTAATCTCTCAATTTCTGTTTTTTACTCTTATTTTTATACTCTATATCTCTTACTATAGTTTGTACCACTTCTATTTGATTTTATGTACCTTCAAATTATTTTTTTCTAAAAATTATTTTCTAAAAATTATCTTACTTGTCTCAGATTATCTGATTCTCTGATTAATTTTGATTTTGTTCCAATTGTTTTTCTTCAGGGTAAGTATTTTTCTTTTGCGAGTGAGCATTATTGATGATTTCTTGTTGTAGTTTATTGATATTAAGATCTTACAATACTTCCTTTTATCTTCATTTTATCTTTGCCATTAACTCCAGCTGGTACTGGCCCTATGCTGCCAGTGATTAGGACAATTACTCTTGTATTCTGGGTTTCATGCTGATTATTTGTCACCTGTTTTAGTTGGTGATGTCACCCATGGGTTTTTCAGTTACTTCTCCTAACTCCTCTGCCTGGTGTTTGGTACAGATCCAGACATAAATGAAAGAAAAGGAGATAGATAGATAGATGGATAGATAGATGATAGATAGATAGATAGGATAGATTAGATAGATAGATAGATAGATACATATTTACATATGTACTTACATACCATAGTTTGCTGCTGAGAGTCTCTCCAGTTTATTTTATTTAATATTCTCATAATCTAGAAGCTATTCTCTACAATGATAAAATAATCCAACTCTCAGGCAATACTGAGCAAAATATAACGTAACTAATATCTCAACATACTTGACCCTATATTTTATATGAAAATAAATGAGGTCAGGCGCAAAGGCTCATGCCTATAATCCCAGCACTTTGGGAGGCCGAGGCGGGTGGATCACTTGAGGTCAGGTGTTCGAGACTAGCCTGACCGACATGGTGAAATCCCGTGTCTACTAAAAAAAACCACAAAAATTAGCCAGGCATGTTGGTGCATGCCTGTAAGCCCAGCTGCTTGGCAGGCTGAGGCAGGAGAATTGCTTGAACCTGGGAGGTGGAGGTTGCAGTGAGTTGGGATCATGCCATTGCACTCCAACTTGGGCAACAAGAGCAAAACATCTCTGAAAAAAAAAAGAGTAAAACACTGGTTGCTCTCTGTTTTAGTAATGTGTTATTTATTAGGTAAATGTGATACATATTAAGTAAAGTGGGATTTTTCTTAGAGAAGATATTTATCTCTATTGAGGTAGCAAAATAAATATGTATAGATTGAATGAATTTGTCTCCCTTTAGGTTTAAATAAGAAATGGGTGTGTGTGTTTTCTTGGCCTATTCCTATTTTTCCTGGCTTATTCATATTCTAATTCCTCTTGTTTATATAATTATTCACTTTGATCACCTCATATATCTTATCTTTTTCGGGTGGCCTAAAAGCAAAAATATTCTTACAGTCTAGTCAGCATTTGCTGTGCTTCTTATTATTGTACTTGTTTAGCACAAACTTGATGCTGATTCTACTTCTCATTCTTCATGACAAAACAAGTGGAAAAAATATCTGGGAATTGGCTCTATGACATGGCTAAATAACACTAATATGGGTCTTGTGCTCTTAATCTATAAAATGGGAATAATAAAAATATCAAGTCTGTAATCACTGCTATATGAAAACCCCGAGTTTTATGAGTGCTTCTGGGAATACCTAGTAAAGAAAACATATCTGTGTGCTTTATCTTTTAATAGTTAAAAACAGTTTTGACAATAAGTAGTTTATATTTATTAGTTATTATAATACATATAATTGTAAATAGTTTATAGGTATTAGTTATTATAATATACATGTACATATAACACATTCATATAAACTATAAGTAGTTTATACATATTAGTAATTATAATATACCTATTATAATAACTAAGAATAGAAAAGCAATGTAGAAACTAAGAGTTATATAATACCCATAGTAATTAATCAATAAGCAAATACTATTTTTAGTATTTTTATACTATTTGTATATGTATTCATTACTTTATGTATATAATTCTTTATATAATTCTTAGGTTCTATAATACCTTTATTCTGTATATTTTGAATTATGTATTTAATAGCCTAATATATTTCTAATTTGCAGAAAACAAGGAAAATTGTCTTCCTTCAATTATTATAAGTATGCATTTCTTTATCCAGGGAGGCTAAAAGGCAAGATCATAACAAGCTATTATATGGAAAATTGGTTCTTCAAAATATTCCTTTTAAAATTGAGGCAACAGAATCATTTTTCCCTCTCATTGTATGTTTAACTTAAAATTGTTTCAACAACAATATGTAGATTGCCAGTTCAAGTTCTCAGGTGTAACAAGACTCACATTTCTTTGTTATACAATATAATATAAATATAAAGTAAAACATTATATTAAAATGAAAGTTTTATAATATTTAGACATTAATATCTCAGCCTTTCATTAGCATATTATTTGAAGAAAGGCATTCACTTTTTCACAGGTTACTTCCTTGCTCCTGAAAATGACGATGTTCTATTTTCTACTATTTTTGTCTAAAAATTTAAACAGGTTAGTATATCCTCTGCATAAATGCTACAAAATACAATGCACAATAATTTTGTTAAAATTACTAAATATTAGTAAAAAATTCGATTAGTTTTCTTAATAATTGTTTCCTTATTTTTCATATCTATATATGCAGTCATTCTAAAGTTAAGGACTACTCTCTTGATAATGGAGAAATCTTTCAACACACAAAAACAAAATTTTTATTGTCTTTTAAATAGGTCCTGAGAAGAGGACTAGAAAAAGGCAACACATCAAAAAGTTAAGAGGCAGAAATAGCTTTTATGTTGCTGGTAAATTTAATGAGATCTTAAGTTTTTCGACTGGCAAGTCTCATCTCTTTGAGCATCTCAGTGAAGACTGTCAGAAATCATCAAAATTCAACACAACAGAGTAAAAGCTAATAGCATTTTTGTTATACCAAAACTGAAAGGATTGGTAAGACTCAAAATGAATGCTATTACTGAAAATCTTCTTTTATCTAATTCTTTGTGCAGTGAGTGAAAATTGAACAAATACATATCCTTTTTATGGTGTTAAAATGAATTCTGACACTATTAAACAAATATTCTTTGGTCCTAAGACCTCCTCAATACTTCTTTCACAAGCAGTATTATTAGAATATCCTATGTGACTCTAGTTCAAAATATTCTGGCTATCATTTGATTATTTTCTGTGAAATAAAAATGCAGCACTCCATTTTTTAAAAAATACTGTGTTTTGATGAAGAAGGAAGTTTTGAGTGGTTATCACATTAGAGAAATTTTTATTGTAATCAACCTTTGATAATTTCTGACATGATTAATATTTATCTTCTTTTCTAGATGTTCTTAAGTAACAAAAAGCAATAAAGATAAAATACAGGACATCAAAGATATCACATACATTCATATATCTCAAGAAATGAAAGCAATGAAAGAGCTGTGATATGATCCATATTTTTTGTTTATTGACAACTAATGCAAAATTCCAAACAATAATGAAGCAACTACAGATTGGGGAAAATAGTAAATCAGAAAGAGCAATTGAGAGAGCCTTTTTAGAAAAAAGTTTTCTCCTTTGGAATTATGTTACATTTTGAGTAATTATTATGATATTCAACCATTAATTTATACATTTGTTTTTAATTTAACATATATTTTGAGTACTAAATATATCAGGCACTATTATAGGTGCTTGTGCTAATTAACAACCAGTTTTCTAGAATGTGTAAAGTGCCATAGAAAATACCTCTTGGGTTCTATGCTCACTACCTGGATGATGGGTTCAGTCATACCCAAACCTCAGCATCATGCAGTATACTCTGTAACAAACACTCACATATATCCTCAAATCTAAAAGTTGAAATTTAAAAAAAAAATAAAAAGCAAATAATTATATTAAGTATATTAACTAAAACAAAACTGATTCCGTTTTAGAAAAAGAATTTAGAAATGAGGGGGAGTGGAGACTAGAATAACACTTATGGTGTTCAATCAGAATCAAAACTATCAATATATACTTAAGTTTACTTTTTTTCTACGTTAGATAGAAATTGAAAAGAATGTGTAGATATATAAATAGACCTAGACGCACATGTTTGTGTGTGAATGTGTATATATATATATATTTTTATTTTTGAGATGAAGTCTTTCTCTGTCGCCCAGCTTGGAGTGCAGTGGCCCAATGTCGGCTCACTGCAAGCTCTGCCTCCTGGATTCATGCCATTCTCCTGCCTCAGTCTCCCAAGTAGCTGGGACTACAGGCACCTGCCACCACGCCCAGCTAATTTTTTTGTATTTTTAATAGAGACGGGGTTTCACCGTGTTAGCCAGGATGGTCTTGATCT
Organism: Homo sapiens; assembly: GCF_000001405.40. NCBI lineage: Eukaryota > Metazoa > Chordata > Mammalia > Primates > Hominidae > Homo > Homo sapiens. The sequence goes on along the minus strand of NC_000009.12, from coordinate 40,027,436 downwards.
TCTGACCTCATAATCCGCCCATCTCAGCCTTCCAAAGTGCTGGGATTACAGGTGTGAGCCATAGCGCCCGGCCGAATGTGTGTATATTTCTTAATTTTAACCACTAAGACTAGAAGCAATAACATTTTAATAGCAATCAGCACATCTAGCATTCAAATCTTGGATTCACTTTTTTCTTCTTTAAAAGGATACAGAGCTCCTTGGATCAATGCCTGATTCTAGGTGCATGCGGCAGAAAGAACAAAATGGGTCTGAGACATCTGTTGTTGTTAAGAAAATAAGGAAGTCTCAACTAATGATTGAGACATGCCAAAGAACATAGGAGCTAACTAGAAGTGGCTCTCAGTGACCCAAACTGAGATAAATTGAACAAGGGAATAAATAATGATGGCAATAGATTATTCAGATTAATTAAACCAAATACACATGAATCCACACTAATATAAATAAATAATTGGATAAATAAGAAAAGTGGGACAAAGGAAAGCTTTTCCATACAGTAGAATTCTAATCAATAAATATAGAAAGAATAGTGGAAATAGATTCTCATTTCTTGGCAAATACCACATAATTGTTGCAGACAAGTCTGCTAAAATTAGTGGATACAATTATGAGAAACAAGATATTTACATAATCTCCAAGTATCTCTCAACAAAATACTGATTTTAAAAATGGTAACTTTGAAGTGGAGAAATGTGGCAGACAATGTCTTATTCAAGTGATCAGAGTTAACGTCAACAATATTAGGACACGATAATATCATGTGCCTCCTGATATGATGCACTGAGAAGGACAACCTCGGCATTGTGGCATTCTTGCCAAAATATATTATGTGAATTTAACCATGAAGAAATATTAGAAAAAAATCAAACTTCAAAATAATCTACAAAAAACAAGTATCAAGGGCATGAAAGACAAAAAGAAAAGCTGAATTTTCTTTTTTAACTTTTTTTTTTTTGAGATGGAGTCTTGCACTGTTGCCAAGGCTGGAGTGCAGAGGCGTGATCTCTGCTCACTGAAAGCTCCGCCTCCTGGGTTCACGCCATTTTCCTGCCTCAGCCTCCCAAGTAGCTGGGACTACAGGTGCCCGCCACCACGCCAGCTAATTTTTTGTATTTTTAGTAGAGACGGGGTTTCACCGTTTTAGCTAGGATGGTCTCCATCTCCTGTCCTCATGATCCGCCCGCCTCGGCCTCCCAAAGTGCTGGGATTACAGGCATGAGCCTCCGCACCCGAATAAAGAAAACTAAAGAAATGTAGCAGATAAATGCAATATGTGACCCTGATTTTGATCCTAGTTAAAAAACATTAGTGGAACCATGAACAAAATATGTAAATAAGGTCTGTAGGTAAGTAACTAATTCCGTATCAATTTCCTAATGTGAGTAACTGTACTCTTAGATATGGTGTTAGCAGTCAAGAAGCTGGGTGAAGAATATATAGGAATTCTTGATTTTTTAAAATATATTTTTGTAAGCTTTAAAGTAGTTCAAAATGAAAATTTTAAAATAAAATGAATAAAAAAGAAAAAGGATAGGATGGATCTTCTGAAGTATTGTGCTAAATATGAAATTCATGGTCCATCCCTGAGGTCTTTTATATTACAGTGTTTAAGATATAAAATAAATGTAAAGAAAACCAAAGAATGATCAATAGTGATTAAAGTTATCACTATTTCTGGATAAACCATGTTCTACGATAGCACATAACTGGTGATAGCTTGGAGTCATGTGAAGACCTCTCCAAGAAAATGAAATGTAAGGCCGGGCGCGGTGGCTCACGCCTGTAATCCCAGCACTTTGGGAGGCCGAGGCGGGCGGATCACGAGGTCAGGAGATCGAGACCATCCCGGCTAAAACGGTGAAACCCCGTCTCTACTAAAAATACAAAAAATTAGCCGGGCGTAGTGGCGGGCGCCTGTAGTCCCAGCTACTTGGGAGGCTGAGGCAGGAGAATGGCGTGAACCCGGGAGGCGGAGCTTGCAGTGAGCCGAGATTGCGCCACTGCACTCCAGCCTGGGTGACAGAGCGAGACTCCGTCTCAAAAAAAAAAAAAAAAAAAAAAAAAAAAAGAAAATGAAATGTAAAGTGATGACTTAAATATGGAAAAGGAACCATTTGATTAAAAAGCCAAACTATGAAGCTTCAAAGACAAGATGTTACCTTGTGCAAAACCCTGCCATGGGGAAAAACTGTGTTTCAAGAGTGGAAAGAGCCCTGTCTCATTAGGAGTGAGGGTCTTGAATGGTGCCTGTGGTTGTAGACAGCAGAGCAGAGCTTTAGCATCCTGGAGATTTGTAATTGTACTCCACAAGTAACTAAAGGATTTAAGGCAGAGGAGGGAAAGAATCTTGCTTACATTACAAAAAATAAAAAAGAAAAAGAAGAAATAAAAAAATAGAAAAAAGTAATATATATTATTATTATTACATTGGTTTATAGTAATTGGTTTATATCTAATTTGTTTCCCTGTGTTTATAATACATATATATCTCTGCCTCTTAAACCAAGAATAATTTTTACAGGGACAAGAATAAACACAAGGAAATGAATTAGAAAACTATTAAAGTGAAACGACAAGAAGGTGGAGACCTTGTTCAAAATAATGAAATACATATTTAAGATATGTGCAAGTTTGAAGAAAAGAGCCACTGATAGGGTTTTGGTGTATTAGATAAGATAAAATCAATGGGAACACCAGCTGAAGTAAACAAACAAGCATACACACACAAACTGGGAAGCAGAGAAAATAACAAAACTCTACTTAAAACATTATGAATTTCAGTTGTCTATAAAACAATCCACATTTGATATTAAGTAAGTAGATGACTATGCAAAGCTCTAACTCAGAGAAGATACCAAAATTGGAAATATTCTGAGATGCTATCATGTAACTGGCCTTTAAACTCATGAAAATGCTTGAGAACACTCAGGGGAAAAAGTGAGTAAGTAGAGAAAAAAGAAAGTACTCAGCTAAGTGGATTGAAGACAGTACAGGAAATATTGAAGGAGACTGTCTATTGTTTGATTGATTTCTTTCAAAGAAAGAATACAAAGTAAGTTGATAACTGAAGGACAACGGTAGGTCAATGTAAACTTTTAACAAAAAGGGAATTATTCATTAATGAGAATGATAATACTAAAATGAGAGGGAGAGCTAAGGGACAGAATTTACTTAATATTGGGAGATCTCATCAATTTAGCATAAGACATGTGGTAACTTTGTAGAAGGTTATTGTTATGAATGCTGTGGGAGTGAATGCATTGGGAAACTAAAATAGAATGTTTGGCACTGTTGAGTATCCTTTTAACTTTTGTAGTGAATTGAAATCATGTTATTAGTTACAACGTAGATGAGCCTGGAGGACATTATGTTAAGTGAAATAAGACAGGCACAGAGAGAGAAAAACCACATGTTCTCACTTATATGTGGGAGCTAAAAATGAGCTTATAAAAGTAACAAGTAGAATTGTAATTATCAGAGGCTGGAAAGGATGGGAATAAGAAGAGGATGGAAAGAGGTTGGTAAGCAAAGTTAACTTTGTAACAAAGTTGTAGCTAGAAGGGAGGAATAGCTCTAGCGTTCTGTAGCACTGTAGGGTGAATTAAGTTAACAATAATTCAGTGAATTTTTTTAAAAACCTACCAGATAGAATTCTGAATATTCACATCACAAGGAAATGACAAATGTACAAGGTGATAGTATGCTAATTACTCTGATTAGAATATTTCATATTGTATACATGTATCAAAATATCACTCTGTATCCCATAAATATGTATAATTATGTGCCAACTAAAAACAAAAGAAAAAATAGAATTCAAAATATAATCAATGTTCAACAAAAGCTTATTAAATTAAGACAAAGAAGCTATTGAAAATCATTTTTAATTCTGAATTTAAATTAAAATAATCTAGCTTAATTATGTCATTTCCCCCCAGAATTCTTATGCTTTTTGGATGCTAGCCCATTAAAAAAAGGACAAAATTTGGAATCATATTGTTTACTCTAATAACCTAGTCTAAATCACGATTCTAGAGAGAAGTGGTAAAGACTCAAATTGTTATTATATTAGAAACTTAGCCTTCTGAAGGCAATATTAGGGAAAAAGAACTCTAGGCCACAATGAGAATGAGAGTAGTTTAAACAGGAAAAGGAAGAATCAGAGAGATTATTGAAAATGCCATCAACTAAGCATAATTCAAACAGAAAACAACATATATATATATATATATTTTTTTTTTTCACCTAGGATTAGTAAATCAAGAAAATTGTATTACAATTTTATTGGATGGTGAGTTCTATAATACACTAAGTATAAAAAAAGTAAAAGACTTGACATATACCATAATAAAATATTTAATAAGAACATATCTAGTAAGTACATAGAAATATATAAATAAAAACAGCTTTATTCAATAAGTATTTGTGACTATTATATATCTTATCTCATTTATCTTCACATTATTTTTGTAGGATAAATATTACTAATTTGATGTGTTGGTTGCAAAAAGGGAAATGTCACTAAAAGAAGTCAGATAGCCTGATTAAGGTTTTACATTCATTCATTGTGACAAATATATAATGAGAACACAATTTCTCTTATTATATCAAACTACCTGCTAAACAACAAAAGGAGTTTGATGATTTAATTACATATACTTTATCTTAATTCCCAAAGTGTATTAATATGGAAGGGCATTCTTTGTTGGTACTTGATGAGGTAAGAATTAAGAATTTAAAACTTATTGGTATAAACATATACCTAATTTAAATCATTTAAGTTATGATATATTAAGCTAATACATGCTTGAATTTGTTACTACTTTTGAAAATTTCTGTGTCTCCCCACACCTTCCTCATTCCACTTCGCTAGTTATTATGTTTCTTTTTTAATTTATGAAGATGGAATATAATGCCTAATTCATAATACTGTTTTTCAGGTACAAAGTTGGCATAGACAATACTGAAATACATGTGATGACATTTACAGTAGCAATTCAAATTAAAAGAGAAAAGCATCTTTCTAAACCATCTTCAAGTAAACACTTGCCATTTATTTCTACTAGCAAATATTTCTATGTATCCTAAAAATTAAAAGTGATATACATTGAGTAAGACTTTACAGTCCTCAGAATACTATAATGGAAAAATATGTATTTGATATGTTTTCCTGCCATTTCGCTATCTAGAAAATGTCCTAATTCTTAAAAAAGATCATTAGCTAGCCACTGAAATCTCAGGGGGAAAAGCTGTTAAAACTGACAGCTACATTTTATAACACTACACATATAGACAACTCAGAGTTTAAATACATTGGATTTGTAATCTCTCTGTTATTTAGAAGAGGTGCTGTATAAGTGAAGGACTCATTTTGTGAACCTTTCTTACTATATCAGCTAATTTATTCTTAGAACATTTCTAGAGAAAGAAAAACAGCAAGAGATCATCAGAGAATAAAAAAAGTATTATAAAAATGAGTTAAAATCATTTAAAGTAGCAGTTTATTTTTCAGAAAAGAATTTTAAGCCTCTACATATTTATGAGCAAGAATGGAAACTCTTGAACAACAGTCATGAAAATTTAAAATACAGATCTGATAAAAAATTCCTCTGCCTGTTTTATCAAATGTGTTTGGATTGGAAATAAATGGGGAGTTTGTTTCATAGCTCCCCTGGGTTGGAGGTAAAAAGTTTCTATTCCTTAGGAAATGGAATAAAATAAATTGGTTAAAAGAAGTTTTGAGATTCATTCGTCCATAGCATTCTAAAATAGGAATTAGCTTAGAAAGGTCATCAACGACCAAAATTATCTGAGTTTGGTGGAGATAAAAAAGCAAGACTGAAAGTTATATTTTTTTTCAAGCAATGTTTGAATGGATAAAGTACAGAAGGAGAAAAATGGTTGCATTTCTATGCATTGAAAATGCTTATTTGGTTTTCTTTTAAGCTTGTTGTTTCAAATGACCCACTTAAATTTACTGACTCTATACCAAATAAATTAATCTCACTTTTCACACTGCTATCCCTCTAGTTTCTTGCCTCAATTTATTCCAGAATGACATTCTACATTTATTCAATAAGTACTCAGAGGGATGTGTTATGTGCATGGCATTCAACTAACCATTAGTTGGACAAGACAAACTAAGTAAAGGATATCTTTCCTGCCTTCTTAAAGTTTGCAGTTTAATTATCTTGATTTCGAGCTTCATTCTCTTACATTTTCACTAATTTTCCATATTTTTTCTAAGTCTCTGAAAAGTTTTGATAGTGAATTCCATCACCTTTATATTAGCTAAGCTCTCATTGGCTTTCTAACTCAATTTATCACATGGATATTGACTTTCAACCATGTTTTCTTTTTTCTTTTTTTTTTTTCTTTTGAGATGAGTTTTGCTCTTGTTGCCTAGGCTGGAGTGCAATGGCGTGATCTCGGCTCACTGCAACCTCTGCCTCCAGGGTTCAAGCGATTCTCCTTACTCAGCCTCCCAAATAGCTGGGATTACAGGTGTGCACTACCATGCCCAGCTAATTTTGTAATTTTAGTAGAGACCGCGTTTCTCCATGTTGGTCAGGCTGGTATTGAACTCCTGATCTCGTAGTCCCCCCGCCTCGGCCTCTCAAAGTGCTAGGATTACAGATGAGAGACACCGTGCCTGGCCTCAACCATGTTTTCAATTCTGAAAACAACTAAGAAGTATATGACCGTTCTTACCTTCAAATAAATACAATTTTAGTCTAAATGATAAAAGGACTCTATATAGGTAAATTCATCATAAGTTAGGAAGTGCAAGTGGAATGAAAAGTTGAAAAAAATGGCATAGTATGTGAGTATGAAAGGATACAGAATTAAAACCCATCTAGAAGATTCAGTAAAATATATGGCTTCCTTTTTATCCAAATAATTTTAGAAACTTTCCCTCCAACTTCCACACTTCTATGGCATTCAATTCCCATCTTTATTTTATTTCGTCTTATATTTTGTTTTACCTTCTGTCTTTACTTTCCCTTCTTGTTGAAGTAATTATTTCCTAGAAACATAGATCTTCATAAGGTTTATTGCTGATTTAACATCTAAAGTTATCATATAATATGAGCTAGATTATGTTATCTAGCAATTTATCAATTGCAAAAATTTCACCCAATTGTAATTTAGAAAAAGTGTCAAACCTCCTAATAAGTTGCAAGAATAACAAAACTAATATTCAAATACATGCAACTCAATCCATAATCCATGTTTGTGTGTGTGTGTGTAAAGTTTTTTTTTTTTTGAGACTGAGTTTCGCTCTTGTTGCCCAGGCTGGAGTGCAATGGTGCAATCTCGGCTCACTGTAACCTCCGCCTCCCAGGTTCAAGTGATTCTCCTGCCTCAGCCTCCCGAGTAGCTGAGATTACAGGCATGCGCCACCACACCCAGCTAATTTTGTATTTTTAGTAGAGACTGGGTTTCTCCACATTGGTCAGGCTGGTCTTGAACTCCCGACCTCAGGTGATCTGCCCGCCTCAGCCTCCCAAAGTGCTGGGATTACAGGTGTGAGCCACCGCCCCAGCTAAATTTTTTAACTTATTCAAAAATCAGTTGTATACATCACTATAATTCACAGGGATAAGCAAATTATTTCTATAAAGAGCAATATAACAAATATTTTAGGAGTGTGTGTCTGTAAACTTTTGAGCTTATTCAAAAAGTAGTTGCAAACATTATTATGAGTCACAGTGTCAGCAAAGTATTTATTTCTATAAAGGGTAAGACAGTAAATATTTTAGGCTTTGGAAACATTGTAGAAGTCTCTGTCACAACTGCTAAACCCTGTTGTAACAAGAAAGTAGACAATATGCAAACAAATGGCTGTGGTTACAATATTATCAACTTTATTCATAGACACAAATGTTAAATTTTGTTAATTTTGTTTTACGAACTATTATTCTGTTGATATTTTTGTATTATTCAAAAAATATAAAAACATTCTTAGCTGCAGGTTGTACAAAAACAGGCAATAGGACAGGTTCAGTGTATGGGCTGAAGTCTGCTAAACCCTGTGGTTCAACTATAAATATTACAGTATATAGCTGCTAATAGCAAGAGCAATGTCCTATTTATACACAAGAAAATTATCACAGGTGGAAATTATATTAAATACATTTTAATCATGCAAATTATACAGGAACGTAGTACTTTTGAAAAAATCAAACGATTACCAGTAAATCTATTGTGTGTTGGTTCATCCCCAGAAGGCCATTATTATCAGTGTGGTTTGCGTATTTCCAGACATTTTCCAAAGCAATCACATAAGTTTATTTTAAAAATGTATTCTCACATATTTTACTGATAAACCATTTAAAAGTAAATGTGCAAACAATAGTTCTGCAATTCATTCATTCTCTTTAATAAGAAACATGCAGGAGACAAAGAAGGCAGGTTTTTTGGTAACCATATAACTGGCTAACCTCTTGGCAAACAAACTAAGAAGTTTCCAGGAAGGAATACCTTACCTACAGAATGCTTTTAGAAGAATGTATGTGCTGTGATTTCTTTTCTAGGGTTGTTTATAATAAAACCTAAATCTCTTTGACTCATGGGGCGTAGTTTCCTGGACCATCTAAAGACAAAATGAGATATTTTGTGATCTAAATATCTCCTCTGTGTAAGTGAGATGACCGCACATCTTACTCAGAATCATCATCTATTATCCTTGTTCAAAGCATATCTGATGTGGAAGGAAAGGACCCAGGGATTCTCACAGTGCTATCTGACCTTACCTTGCTCCACCTGTACCTCACAATAATTTTTATCCATAAAATTATTAGTTAAGTTTGCATAAGATCTCCGATGCATGTGAGTCTGATTTGATAATCTAATACTTTGTGTATTTGTAACCACAATAATGTGTTTTTATTTTTCAATTTAATATGTATTGGAAATCTTAGTGATTCAACACACGTTAATCTTTATCATTTCTTTAACTCTTAGATATGTCATATTTACTTAGCCATTTCTCTATTGGTGGACATTTAATCTATTTAATGGGCTTTTGACTATTTTTAAAAAGCTGTAATTGACATCCTATTGCATTTTACTGCACATATGTTAGTATTTCATAAGACAGATGATGAGTTAAGGAAAATTGTGCTTATAAGTTATTCACATTGTAAAATTTAATAGATATCAAAAATTTTCATCTAAAGTGGTCTTAAATTACAGATGTCAATTTGATATTATTAAACTTTGAATTATTTTGCTAAGCCCATGGATTGAAAGTATAATTTTATGAAATCTTAGGTACCACAGGAAGAAGTATAAATTGATACAACTGATTTGAAAAAAAGTTAGTCTGTGATTAAATAAGTAACCACATATGTTTGCTCCTAAAATTCCTTGGATAGTTATATGTTGTAGATAAACTTATGCATATAATTCTGAGAGCATATGTCCAAGTATTTTCATATTGACTTTGCTCCTAAGCAACCAAACTTTAAAATAACACAAATGTATATAAGGAATAAAATAGAAAATTCTCATCTATATAAACAATCAAATATTATAGAGCAGTGAAAAAAAATAAATTACAACTGCTTGCAACAACAGGGCTGTCACTCATAAACATATGTTGAACAAAAGGAGTGTGGCACAAAATAATACAGAAAGAGGATTTCATAGTAATTATCAAAGCAGGCCAAAAAACACTAAGGTATGTTGTTCAGAGATGCATACATGCTATACCTTTTTGAAGCACAGCAAAAAAATTATACATAAAACTTAGGGTGAGAGGAGCTTCTTTTAGGAAGGGACACTTGGGGGAGTCTGGGGCGCTAATATAGTCTAATTCCTGGCCTAGTTTGGTTTACATGGGTTAGCTTTACAATCTGAATACATTTAAGCTTTACAGATGTCTTTGATTCATGCTTTTGCATCTCAAAATAAAAGGTTCTATTGTTTAAGTTTAATTTGTTTTACTTGATTATTGAAAAATTTAATTATTTTTAAAATTTTAATTAAATTAGTTTAAATAAATAATTAAGGTCTTTAGAACTAATCTCTTGATTCTTCCAGTAAGTACCTATTTTTACATTTTCCCACTTTTCTATTGAAATATTTTTATTTTTCTAAATTATTTATAGATTTGCTTTCGTATACATAGTTTACATATTTTCTCATAGTAAAAAATATGTAGTAAAACTATTTTGCTAGAAGTGAAGACTTTAAATTTAAGTTAGCCAAATTAATCAATTTTTTCCAAGGGTATTGATTTTTTAGTCTTGCTTAAAAAGGCAAAATGGAGGCATACATTAGGTAAATATATTGAGAATGGGAATTTGAATCAGAAAGAAAAGGCAGCGATCAGTTGGAAATATCTGAATACATCTTGCCTAATGGGCATGTCCTCTCTCTGACAAAAAGCCTGATCTTGCGATAGAACAAAAAACCAAACACCGCATATTCTCACTCATAGGTGGGAATTGAACAATGAGATCACATGGACACAGGAAGGGGTATATCACACTCTGGGGACTGTGGTGGGGTCGGGGGAGGGGGGAGGGATAGCATTGGGAGATATACCTAATGCTAGATGACACGTTAGTGGGTGCAGCGCACCAGCATGGCACATGTATACATATGTAACTAACCTGCACAATGTGCACATGTACCCTAAAACTTAGAGTATAATAAAAAAAAAAAAAAAAAAAGCCTGATCTGACTGCAAATGAGGCAAATTGTGGCCTGTAGCAGCATGAACCTCCTTCTCCACCAAAGGATTGCTCAGTAATAACAGTCTAGCAGAAACTCACCTTGAAAAAAAAATGTAGACAACATGAAAAAAAGAAAGAAAGGAAGAAAATCAACAGTCATTCGGAGAAGTGCCATCATTGTAAGTGCATAGGGTAAGATTAAAATAACATAAAGCAAATGAAAGATGTATAAAATACAAAAGAAAGACAGCAGAGAGCAATAAAAAGAGTACTTCCAAATAAGTAGAATTAATATTCTCAGGGGAATGCCAGAAGTTACTGCATCCATTAATAAAGAAGAGGAAAGCTAAAAATGAGATCATTGAAGTAATGATGAATATATAATCTCTTAATAAATAATGACGAATTGCATATATAGTAAAAAGAAGGCTGAAATATTTTTAAGCATACGCTTGCATACTAAAATAAATGAGGTCAAATGAACAATACAAATACACTTCTTTTTGGACACTGACTTCTACTTGCACCTGCAGTTCTAGTCCTCTCTTTTCCACTACACTTTCTGATCTTCTTAGTATGAATTCCAACAAGAGGCTTCCTTTTCTTCTGACTGCTGAGTGAATTCAATGAGTTAAAGTGAATGATTTGTATTCTCAGGAAAGCAGAGAGCAAGATCAAGTATTTTTAACACTGGCTTCCCAGGGGTGATTGGCTTTGTCCCTTAAGCTTAGGTGGTTGCTCTTTTCCTGATGAGTCTACTTTATCCTAAAGTTAGTAAACTTGCTTTGCCACTGGCCCTTTCAAACTAGGGGTGATAAAAATCACTCTAACCAAAGGTTACTGCAGTCTCTTGTGTTCTTTCTCATCCCTTCAACAGCTTTGCAAAGAGTCTCCAAATCCTCTCTGCATTATCCTTATTAAATTGCACTATCAGTTTCTTTATATGACCCCAACAAATACATGAATCTCCTAGTTAGGGAAACTGATAGACTAAGAGTACTTTTCTTTCATGTTCAAAGCTAGAAGGTAAGTATTTTCTAATAATGTGAAGCAGTTGAAATGACAATTTGGGTTAGAGCTGTGCTGTGGACTACAGCTATTTGAAAGTACAGTTTTATTTTTATGACAGTTTGCTCTCTGCTGTCTGGGATATTTACATTTTCCTTTCCTATGGAGAAGGTCAGAGTATGATTGATTCAACATTAAAAATAACTTTAGGTTGTTTAAAGTGAGGATGTTCTAAATGATAATATTTGTGAAGTCCTCTATTTTGATATTTTTCACTTAAGATCAGTGATTTAGAAATCAAGTGAAAATCTTGTTACCATTTGAATGAACATACTGATATTAATAAAATGATAAGTATTTTACATGATCATCCAAGTTAGATTTTGACAGAATGCCTAGGGTCTTGGAGTAACCAGCTTTTGGCAATTCCTGGCTCTCTTTTTCATATTCAAATTTGTAAAGAAAGCAGAGAAGAGTAAATGTGTGTAGGTGTCTTCCTCCTGGAAGTAGGCACAAACTGCATGGAAAACCAACCAAAAAATGGTAACAGAAAAATATGATAATAATTTATTTAAAAATAAAATTCTTAGACTTTGTCATAACTAGAAGACTATCTAGAATTGTGAATGAAGTAAGGACCCCAAATAAAGACGCATTTCTAATTCTCATATTTCTGGCCCATGCAGCAAATATTGGGTATGCTAGATGGAAGAAAAGATGTTCAATATATAACATCCTCTTCCATATCTCAGTTTTGATTCTATTAAAATTAATACAAGGAATATAGCAGAATACTGAGAAACAAACACATTTAGTCTGATATAGGGGATGCAGATGAATTTGATTTATATTCATGGCAGTTGAGCCTTCTAATATTGAATTCCAGAGTTAGTGCAGAAGCAAAGAATGTGTGCTTTCTGTGAGTGATTCCTAAATAAAAAGAACAGAGGCATATGTTTTTAACAAGTACTTATGTGGGATTCATAAAATTAATTTTTATATTATCCTCTCCCCTATCAACAAATTGTTAGGGACACCATGTCCGTGTTTTAAATGTTTATTAAAATTGCGTTGTATTTTAATCTCAACAATATCAATATAGATTTAATCCTCAGTCATGTGTATCAACTTTTGTGAAAATTAATTTTATTTTCTTTCACTGGCATAAGTTTAATAGTTATTCAAAAAAAAAAAAACTGGATTTTTTATTCCCCTGACTTTTTAAATGTTTAAAAGATGGCTGTTTCTTACCTTCATGTGATTAGGGGACCTTATGTTAAATTCTTGAGTTATGCTTTCTGCAGACTTTAGGTAGACAGAGTTTCACTGGTGAGGTAAATTTTTTTAAACTGTGAAATGCACAGATCTAAAGTTTACAATTCAATAACTTTGGACAAATACAAAGACCCATATAATCAATACCGATTCAAGCTACAGGCATTTTCCTCACCTCAAAAATTCCTTCATGCCTTTCCACTTAAATCTCACTCACACATCAAATCTTTAATCCATTCTTATTTTCATAACCATGGATTAGTTTTGCCTCTTCTGGAATGTCATATAAATGGAACTTTATGCCATGTAATTTTTTTTAATTTGTTCAACATAGTAAGAATAGATATTCAACTTTTTTATTTCATTCAATATAATATTTTATAGAGGCCCAGACATTTTGTTACACGTCAATATCTGATTTGTTGTTGTTGTTGTTAATTCTGAGTACTGTAGTGTCCACTGTATGAATATATACAATTCGTGTATCCATTCCTTTATTGAAGGTTGTTTGGGTCGTTTCAAGGTTTAGTTTTAAGAATAAAACTGTTCTAATAAGTTTTGAATAAATCTTTATCGTGGCATCAGTTATTATTTCTTTTGTATACGTAACAGAGAAAAAACTTACTGGGTCAAAGAAAAATATATTTTAAACTTTATAAGAAAATAATTAACTGTTCTCTGGAGTGTTTGCCCCATTTTACACTCTTAAGAAACAAAAAGACTTCCAGTTGCTACATATCTATAATTTTTGGTATTGTCAGTATTTTAAAATTTCTTTAAATAATTTCTAGTGAATGTGCAATGGCTGTCATTGTCATGTATATTTGCATATTCCTAATGAATAATGATGTCCAGTGCCTGTTCATGTGACATTGCATATCTTCCTTTGTAAGATATTCAAGACCCATGCCTATTTGGGGAGAGGCTGTTAGACATTTTATTACTGAATAGTACTACTTATTAAGATCTTCTAAGTCATTTGTATGTATTAAAAATAATTCCTCTGATTCTGTGTCCTGCCTTTTAATTTTTTTCAATGCTTTCTCTTGATGAGTAGAAAATCTTATTTTGAGGAAGCCCTATTTATATAATTTTTTCCTTTATGGCTACATTTTCTGTTTGTTTTGTCTGAAATATTTTTGCCTCCCTAAAGATGTAATATTTTGCCCCCTAAGATGCAAGATTGTTCTCTTATATGCTTTATAGTATTAGTTTTTATATTTATGTTTCATATTTATGTTTATGAGCATCTCAAATTGGATTCATCGCAAATTTGTAAATGATATGGGATAAACATTGACGTTAGGCTAAGCATGATGACTCACATTTGTAACCCCAGTGCATTAGGAGACTGAAGAAGGAGGATTTCTTGAGCCCAGGAGTTCGAGGCTGCAGTGAGCTATGATTGCACCACTCCAGCCTGGGCAACAGAAAAAGTTAGAAATAAAAAAATTAATTTGATTTTCATAAATTTATCTAGTTGTTTCAGATATGTTGTAAAAATATGTGTTTTCTATTGTCCTTTGTCTTCATAGAAAATCAGTTCATCATCTATGTTAAACATAAACATATTTATGGATGCTCCATTTTTTAACATGCAGCTTTAAAAATCTTAAAATAATTTAATGTTACTTCTTTGATTATATTCTTTTCCAAGATTGGTTAAGTTACCTATGTTCCTTTGTCTTTCTGCATATTTATATACATCTTGACATCACATTGTTTATTTTTATTTTGCAGTAAAATCTGATGTGATTTTCATCAGAGTTGAAATACATTTGTAGATCAATATAAGGTGGATGGATATCTTAATATAAATAACATATCAATAAGAACATGTATAGATCTACGTTTTCTATTTTTTCTTAAAATTTCTCAATAATATTTTTTAGCTTCTAGATAAAAGACCTACGCATATTTTGTTGCCTTTATTCCTAAGAATTATATGCTTGTGATTATTCTATTGTGAATAGAATTTATTATTATGTTTTAATGATTCATTATTAGTATGCAACAACACATTTTACCGGTTAAGAACTGCTTATCCAAAATGCTTGTCGAATTAATGCAAAAACAGCAAACTAAATACCACGTTTTCACTTATAAGTAGGAGGTAAACATTTGGTACCCAAAAACACAAAGATGGGAACCATAAACACTGGAGATTCCAAAAGGGAAGAGAGAGGGAGCTGGCCAACTGTTGAAAAACTATCTATTGGGTCTTATGTTCACTACATAGGTGATGAGATCATTAGAAGTCCAATATTCAGCATCACACAGTATACCCATGTGACAAACGTTCAGATGTACCCCTAGAATCTAAAATAAAATAAAACAATCAGTTGCCAATATACAAATTGAAGTTGAATTCAACTCATGCTGCACTCTTTTCCCTGTTGCAATCATTATTACTGATTAAAATCTGTCCTTACCACTTTAACTAGTGTCCTCCTTCGTTTATTTTTAATACAAGAGGCCCTTCTGCCTTGCTTACTTATGTATTTCCAATGTTTGCACAGTTTTTGTTCATAGTGTCTGCTTAATAGGTATTTGTTAAAAAAAAATGAGCACATATAGTGAGTTAAAAAATGCTTGGGACCAGAGGTATTTCAGATTTCAAATTATTTTCAGATTTCAGAATATTTACATTATACTTACAAATTCAGTAGTGCTAATCCAGAAATCCAAAATCTGTAATTCTTAAGTGAACATTTCCTTGAGCATCACGTCAGCTCTCAAAAAGTTTCAGCTTTTAGAGCATTTCAGATTTCAGATATCTGGATAAGGAACACTCAACATGCACTTTCATATATTAACCTTGTTTGCTATAAATTTCATATATATATATATATATATTATTTAGTTCTAGTAGCTTTTGAAATGTATTCCTTAGGTTTTTTTCCATAATCATCTCATTTTCAAGTAAAGACAATTTTGTTTTTCCTATTCGATCATTATGCCCTTTATTTTTCTTCTTTTTATAATGGTTAGTGCTTACAGTAATGTGTAGAAGAACAGTAGTGAGATGAACATTATTTCTTTTTTCCTGATTTTATGTGGAATTTTTCAATATTGCACCTTTAAATAGTACCCTGCCTGAAGATTTTTTGTAGATTGTGGAAATAAATAACACCTAATAATAACAGAGAGAATCTATATTTATTCAGACTTTTTATAACAAGAAAGTCAGCTGTCATCATATATGTTTTGCAGAGACTCAAAGAAAGGCTGAGGAATAGGAAAGTTTTGTACCTGGAAAAGGAAAGCTTTTGGATATGCTCTGCCTTAAGGTTGTATGGGGAAGCTGAAGATGGACTAAATAAATAAGGGGAAATGGAGCATCTTATGTGATCAGTCAGAAAGCATACTTGACTTTCTCTGATGGGTCCTGAGTTGGCAGCGGGGGCAAAAATAGGGAACCTGGCAATCATTAACTAAATCCTATTCATTTGGGGCTGGTTGATGCAGAGGCTGTGGTTTGGCTTCCCAGGCTGGTTGCTACAAAGATGTGGGTCAGAACTCTATTCTTATATATGGTCTGGCTACCCCTCCTCCCATTTTGTCATTAACTAGCTTGTGAGGCATTGACCAAGCCAATTCAGGGAAGTTTAGAGATTCAAATCTTCACGACTTAGAGACTGTTTAGTTGTCTCTATTGTCAACCATATTATGAGATGTTCTTGAACTTTTTGCAGTTTTGTAGTAAGGGCGATCTTCTGGTGAGAGGGCTGCTATAAAAAGGAAGTTAAGACTGAGTTGAATGCAATTGGCCAGCATCATGACTACTATGACAAAAACAAGAACAATGAGTAGTTCCTATAAAATGCTTCAGAAATAAAACCCCAGTTGTCCAGCTCAAGTCAAGAGAACAAATCTTTCAGGTTATGACGATCAGCCATAGAGAGCCAAGTAACTTCTTCCTTAAGGCAATATATAGCTTATTCCATCTTGCTGTATTAATCATGGTTATTGTTTTTGTTTTGCTTTGACATCTTGAGACCATATGGGTTTCAAGACAGAGTGCTCCTCCTAGGGTTAGCTAATTTCTAGAAATACTAAACAACTTGCCTATGATCATGTTATTTATATGCAAACCAACCAATCCAGAATCCACACCCTCACTTGACTCTTATTATATGGCTCCTGTGGTCTGGGACATTATCCCTCTGCTTTCGTCACCCCAGAATCAGGTGCTGGAACACTAGGGACTAAATTACACAAAAAGTACTCACACTACCCAGTCTTAAACCTGCTCAGCTGCTTACACTGTCTCACTCATTCCTTCCAAGGAAAACCATATTAAAGGCTCTGGCTCATGCTTTAGTCTTGCTCCTTTTGCCTTCACTGACTCTGGTACTTCCCCATATGGCCCCAGTGCATGATGTGCTGTGGCTCCTGTTTCTAGGGCTTTATGTGTATAAGAACACGTGACAGTCATTTCTGTCTCTGCAAGTCTCTCCATAAT